>NC_000006.12:8696363-8847878 GCF_000001405.40 Homo sapiens
CAAATGAGTATGGTTAATTAGAAGTCAGGTGAATAAGTACTTTAAGGAATTGGAAGTGATTAACCGTATCTTCTAGTGTCTCCATTTATTTGAGCTGCTGTAACAAAAAACCATAGTCTGGGCAACATAAGCAATAGAAATTTATGTATCACAGCTCTGGGGACTGGGAAGTCCAAGATCAAGGTGCCAGCAGATTCAGTGTCTGGCAAAGCTCACTATCTGCCTCAAAGATGGTGCCTTGTTGCTCTGTTCTCACATAGTAGAAGGGTATAACGGGGCTCTGGAGCTTCCTCAAGCTTCTTATATACAGTTAGTAATCTCATCCATGAGGGCAGAGCTCTCATGACCTAATCACTTCCTAAAGGCCCCACTCTTTAATACTATTACATTGGGGGTTAGGTTTTAACATATTAATTTTGAGGGAACACCAACATGCACACCATAGCATAGCTGAGAATTAGCTACTGAGTTTACAATGTGAAGGTCATTGTTGACCTTGAGCAGTTTTGATAGAGTAAGAAGGATGGAGTGATAAAATTTGAGTGAAGTGGATACAATAGAGATTAACAAGAGACAAATCAGGAACAACTCCTTTGAGGAATTTGAAGTAAAAAGAGGAGTAACCAGCCAGGCGCGATGGCTCACGCCTGTAATCCCAGCACTTTGGGAGGCTGAGGCAGGTGGATCACAAGGTTAGGAGTTTGAGACCAGCCTGGCCAACATAGTGAAACCCTGTCTCTACTAAAAATACAAAAATTAGCCAGGTGTGGTGGCATGTGCCTGTAGTCCCAGCTACTCAGGATGCTGAGACAAGAGAATCGCTTGAACCCAGGAGGCAGAGGTTGCAGTGAGGCGAGATTGTGCCACTGCACTCCAGCCTGGGCAACAGAGTGAGACTCTGTCTCAAAAAAAAAAAAAAAAAAAAAGAGGAGTAACCTGTAGTAATCAAAACAATATGGTACTGGCATAAAGAGAGACATATAGACCAATGAAATAAGATAGAAAGCCCAGAAATAAAACCACAAATATAGGGTCTTTCTAAGAGGATGCCAAAAATATAAAATGGGGAAAGTCTTTTCAATAAAAGGTGTTGGGGAAACTGGATAAGAGAAAGAGGTGGTAGCTGAATCGGGGATTGGGAGCAGATTTTTTTTTTTTTTTTTTTTTTTTTTTTGAGACAGAGTCTAACTCTGTCACCCAGGCTGGAGTGCAGTGTCGCGATCTCGGCTCACGGCAAGCTCCGCCTCCTGGGTTCATGCCATTCTCCTGCCTCAGCCTCCCGAGTAGCTGGGACTACAGGCGCCTGCCACCACGCCCGGATAATTATTTTGTGTTTTTAGTAGAGACGGGGTTTCACCGTGTTAGCCAGGATGGTCTCGATCTCCTGACCTCGTGATCCGCCCGCCTCGGCCTCCCAAAGTGCTGGGATTACAGGCATGAGCCACTGTGCCCGGCCGGGAGCAGACTGTTTTTAAAATATGGTATAATGTGTTCTTTGGAGAAATGTTGCTTCAAGTCCTTAGCTGATTTTAACTGGGTTAGTAGTTTTATTTTTTGCTACTGAGTTGTAGGCGTTTGTTATATATTTTGGAGATTAACTTCTTATCAGATATGTATGGTTCGCAAATATTTTCTCCAATTCCATAGATTGCCTTTTTACTCTGTTGATTGTTTCTTTCACCGTACAGAAGCTTTTTAGTTTGACCTAAGTTCAACTGGTTTATTATTATATTTGCTGTCTGTGCTGTGGTGGTATATCCATGAAATTATTGTCAAGAGAAATATCATGACCATTCTATGTTTTTTGAGAATATGTATAGTCTTACGTTTAAAGCTTTTAACCCATTTTGAGTTGATTTTTGTATATGGTGTAAGACAGAAGTCCAATTTCATTCTTTTGCATATTGATATCCAGTTTTCCCAACACCCTTTTTTAAAGAGATTTTCCCCATTTTATATTCTCAGCACCCTTTTAGAAGACCAGTTGTCCATATATTCGTGATTTTCTTTCTGGATATTCTGTTTTGTTCTGTTGGTCTACAAGTCTGTCATTATGCCAGTACTATATCATTTTCATTAATGATATAGGTTTGTAATGAATTTTAACATCAGGAATTGTGATGCTTCCAGAATACATAAAATAGCCAATAGGTATATAAAAATTCTTAATGTCACTAATAATTAGGGAAATGTAAATCAAAACCACAATGAGTTATCTACTCACACCTCTTAGGATAACTAGAATCAAAAGTAAAACCAAAAAACAAGTGTTGGCAAGGATGTGGAGAAATTGAAACACTTGCACACTGTTGATAGGAATGAATAGTATGGCGGTTTATCAGAAAATAAAAAATAGAACTACCATATGATCCAGAAATTCCACTTCTGGGTATTTATCCAAAATAATTGAAGTCAGAATGTCAAAGAGATATAAGCACTCGTATGTTCATTGCAGCATTATTCACAATAACCAAGATGTGGAAACAATCTAAATGTCTGTTGACAAATGGATGGGTAAAGAAAATGTGGTATACACATGCAATTGAATACATTGAACCTTAAAAAGGGAAGGAAATCCTGCAAAATGTGACAACTTGGATGAACCTTGAGGACATTATGCTAAGTGAAATAAGTCAGTCACAGGAAGACAAATACTGCATGATGCCGTTTAGATGAGGTGTTTAAAATAGTCAAATTTATAGAATCAAAGAGTAGCAAGGTGATTGTTGTGGGGAACAGAAAATGGAAAATTATGAATCAATCGGTATTAGTTTCAGTCAAGCAAGATGAATAATCTCTCTAGAGATCCACTGTACAACATTGTAACTACAGTAAAAAATAATGTATTATACACTTAAAAATTTAAGATGGTAGATCTCATGTCAAATGTTATTTACAATAATAATAATAGTAATAATAATAAATGAGAATAATGGCATGTTTGTACATTAATCAGAATGATTCAGTGGAGAGGAAAAACCCGATGATGCAGGGAAGAGAGAGGCTTGGATACTTGGACCAGTGACCTTAGGTGAGCCTGAGGGGTGGGTCTGTAGCATACAAATGAAAAGGTTGGCTCTAGATAGGCACGATGATCATTTGCCTATGGTAGCAGGAGGAAAAGCAAGGATACTGTGCTCTGACTGCTTCAGTGTCTCAGTAAAATCTCAAGCAAGCTCATCAGCAGAGAGTGGGATGGAAGAAGTTGTATTAGTGTGTTGAAAGTCAAAGACATTTCTCTATTAAGGGTTTAATTGATTTTTGTTGTCATTGATTACTGCAAGGGTTGGCAACTTTTTCTGGAAAGAATCACATATTTTAGGCTTTGTGGTCCCTGTAGTCTTTATTATAACTACATGATGTTACCATTGTAGTAGAAATCTTCTACGGACAATATGTAAACTGGAGCTGCCATAGACTATACATAAACTGACAGTTTTCCTCCTCCCTTCTTAAAGACCGTGTTCAAATGCCATTGCCTCATTGAAGTGTTGCATGATTTTCTTGGGCATAATCAGTCAGGATTCTTTCTGGGGTCCTAGATCCTCTGTTGAACACCTTTCTTCCACATTCTTCACACTGTACTGTAAGTACTGGAGCTAGTTTGCCTTGGTTCAAGAGAACCGAATATTAAATTTTCTGGAATTCTTTGAGTCAGTTAAGGTACCATCAGCAGCTTGAAATCACACAAATTGGCAAACTCTACAAATAAAGGGTTCCCTCACTCCCAAGTGCCAGTTATTAAACATTTATTTGCCGGGTCACTCACCATAATAAATTTGTTTGCATTACCATCCCTTTCGCTAGTACCAACTTCTTAAGAATATTGACCATGTTCAATTAATGTTTCTGTCTTCTCCACCTACAGAACTATGGGGATTTTGTCAATGCTGAAAACTGTTAAAGATAATTTTGAATGTTTTACTTTTTTACCTAACTAAATAATTCAAATCCAGAAAATTTCTTCCAGTTTAATAATCTGTCCAAAAGTCAATAAAGTGTACCAACCCATGCATAAGAGGAATAAAGAAGACATTAGGTGTTTGTGAGATGAACCTCATATTGGATTGGACCTCAGCCTATCACAGTTTTCCCTGAATTGACTTTGGTTTCAATCTCTAGTCACTCAACCCACTCTATCACCTTCGGCCTGGACAAGCACTGTGCCTCATATCTGATGGTAAGATTCATAGTTTGTAAGAGCACAGGGTTGGAGCCAGGCTACCTCCTGACAGTGGGCAAGTTATGAAACATGTATGTTCTCATCTGTAGAAGGGAGTAAAAATAATATATACCTTGTAGAGTTGCTGTGTGGATTAAATAAATTAACCCTTGCAGTGCACTTAGAGCAGTGTCTTAGCGATGTTAGAGCTAGTTCTCATTATTAATCAATCTCCCAGGTGTCTCCTCTTGCCTGTCTAAAAATCCATTCTCCCCAAAACATCCAGAGTGACCTTTAAGAAACAGAAATCTAATTGCATTATCTCCCTGCTTGAAAACCACCAATGATTTTTTTAATGCTAGAAATAAAAATCCAGTCTCCTTTTCCTGGTCTCTAGTCCTGTCATGATCTGCCCCTGTGGTTCCTTCTTGCTCTCACCTCATGCCAGGCTCACCTGGTTTCACTAAACTTCACCCATATGGTCTCCTTCTGCTCCTTGGGTGTGCCAGCTTTCATCCTACCCTTGGCCCCCACTCTTCCCTCTGCCTGGAATAGTTTTCTCCTAGTTATTCCTGTGATTCCTTTGTGTTACTCCGACCTTGGTTCAGATATCGCCTCTTCATGAGGTCTCTCCTGAACACTCATTCCAAAGGAGCTCAACCCACTCTCATTACACTTTATCTCATCCTCCTCTTTTATGATCTTTATATCACTTGTCCATATCTGAAATTGTTGTATTTATTTATCTTTTTATTTGCTTGCTTTGTTTTTATTCCAAATGGATATAAACTCTGGAGAGTATGGATATTGTCTATATTTTTCACTGCTGAATCTCTAGTTCCTAGATCAGCAGGTCCTCAAAACATTATCGTTGAATCACTAAATGACATGAAGAATGGATGTATCTTCTTGTTGCTGTACTTTGGAAACCCAGTTGATCCCTTGTCCTATTTCTGAATGGAATCACTGTCCTCCATTGTAGAAGTCAGAAAGCTCAGGGTCATCCTTAACTTGTCCTTATCCATCATCCCCGTAATGTACTTCTTACCTTCAGTCCATTCTGCTTCCAAAATCGCACATGAATCCCTCTACTTCTTCCTGTCTAGAATCATTTTTATGTATTTGTTTTTCCAACTGGTCATTGTTTCTTTTTTTTCTTTTCTTTTTTTTTTTTTTTTTTGTTTTTTTGAGATGGAGTCTTGCTCTATTGCCCAGGCTGGAGTGCAATGGCGCAATCTCGGCTCTCTGCAACCTCCACTTCTTGGGTTGAAGCGATTCTCCTGCCTCAGCATCCTGAGTAGCTGGGATTACAGGTACCCGCCACCATGCCCAGCTAATTTTTTTGCATTTTACTAGAGACAGGGTTTCACCATGTTGACCAGGCTGGCCTTGAACTCCTGACCTCAGATGATCCTCCCACCTCGGCCTCCCAAAGTGCTGGGATTACAGGTGTGAGCCACCGTGCCCGGCCTGGTCATTGTTTCTTATGCTCAGCTTCAATCTCTTTGCTTCACTACAGTTAGATTAAACTTGCCAAATCGCAATCTGATTGTGTCCCTTCATTGCTTAAAACCAGTAACATGTAAACAGTCACATGAGGTGGGAGACATTATGAATGCACAATCTAGCCCCGTATAATTTGTGTCCATCAGCATGTCTGAGGTTAGGGGCAGTTTCTCAGAAGCCACTGGCTTCCTATGTGAGTTAAATGATTTTTCTTTGTCTCTACATCAGGGCTTTCTCTACATCGTGGAGCTGCTCATCGCTCAATGTGGCTCCCCTGGGGCAACTCTCATACAATGGAGGATGGCATCAATGGATAGATGTTTCAGTCTCTCCCACCACCCCAGCCTCCCAGCCTTCACTGGGATTCTTCTTAGACCCTTGAGGCCACTGGAGGCCATGACTACACTTGGTACCTCAGAGGGATGCCATGTAGGCATGTAGGGTTGAGACCCATTGCCAATAATCATGACCAGCTCAATAACACACTGTTTTTTGTTTTGTTTTGTTTTATCTTCTTTCCTTATCTCTCTTTTACCTCTTCCTTGCTTGTGCATTCTGAAATTAACTCTTAAATAAATGACCTGTATCCAAGGCCTGTCTTGTATTTCACTCTTGGGAAAACACAAGCTAGGATACATGACTTATAACATGCCTTGTGATCTGGTCTTTACTTCCCTCTCCAGGTTATTTTCCTCAGTCAACAACCACTTCCTACCCACATCAACCTTGTTTTGAGGCCATACTAATTTCTTGAGTACATCATGCTCTTTCTTACTTTCTATGTATTTGTGTACTTTTGGCTGCAACCTAAATGCTACCGCAATCACCCAGTGGATAACCACGTGCCATGTTCCAACAGGTGTTCGATGATTGCTCCTTCAAGTAATTGGAGTCTGAAATTTATTCCTGTTCATGTAATTCCACAGAGAAGTCTTAAAATATTTTAATTTATTTTTATACAGTGGGTTATGGGAATATCGCTAAAATTCTGAGAAGATATAAAAGCAGAAATACATATAGTTATTTTAAAATTCCAAATTTATATTTTTCTTATTTTTAATGGCCTTTAAGTTAACCAGGTGCAAACAATCTACTATTTTCATTTGGAAACAATGGAACATCCAGCTGTCCAGAGAATAAATTTGTGTGAATTGCATGATTTAAAAAATGTAAGCCAATGTTAGCTTAAAATTTTCTTTTTACAATAAGTGAAGTTCTTTTTATGGAGGACTGTCACGTGATTACTTTTATTATATCTTTTTTTTTCTGAAAAATGTTCCCTGGAAGTAGCATTTTCTCAGTTCTAAATAAACTTTTAAGTTATACCCAGCAAGAGCCAAAGTGATGATAGAATTAAACTCATTATGCTTTTATTTTACTCTGATACTCTTAACAAGAGATATAGCTCATTCTGAACATATAATTAGGGCAATTGAGGTAATCCATGCTTTAATAATATTTGAGATGATAAATGCCAGTTACAACAAACATGTTACTACTCTTTTCACTGTTGTTCCTTTTCTCTTTATAGTCACTCACTAAAAACTTGGATTTCTTCTATGTTTTAATTTTTATAAAACCAACAAAAATCCAGAGTTCTTATAGACCACTGATATTTGTTGGCCTGAAAACATTTGAAAGAACAGGCGGTCTTCTTGCTGCAGGGTCCAAATGCACTATCAACGTGATTTATATGATATATTCAAATATTTCATGTAAAAGTGAATTTTCATTTTCATATTCACATCTTTACAATTTAAATCTGGATAATTCTCACTTACTGTTCAGAGCTCAAAGAAATTTTCCACAGTTGCCCATACCACTGCAGCATGCCTGAGTTTCCATGCACCGTGTGCTCCTCCGTCACAATCTATTTTAGACATTGGTAATTATGTCTTTAATGTACAATTGTGCACTACATGACAATGTTTTAGTCAATGATGGACTGCAGGTATGACAGTGGTTGCATAACATTATAATGAAGTTGAAAAATTCCTATTGCCTAGTGACATCTTTTTTTTTTTTTTTTTTTTTTACTTTAAGTTCCTGGATACATGAAAATTTCCTACTGCCTAGTGGCATCTTTTTGTTTTTTCTTTTTTCTTTTACTTTAAGTTCTGGGATACATGTGCAACATGTAGGCTTGTTGCATAGGTATACGTGTGTCATGGTGGTTTGCTGCGCCTATCAACCCGTCATCTAGGTTTTAGGCCCCGCATGCATTAGGTATTTGTCCTAATGCTCTCCCTCCTCTTGGCTCCCACCCCCTAACAGGCCTCGGGGTGTGATGTTCCCCTCCCTGTGTCCGTGTGTTTTCACTGTTTAACTCCCACTTATGAGTGAGAGCATGCGGTGACTGAGATCTTGATGATCCTGACCCTGTGTAGGCCTAGGCTGATGTGTGTATTTGTCTTCATTTTTAACTAACAAAAATATTTAAGAAGTAAAAAGAAAAATTTAATTAAAATTAGAAAAAAGTTTATGGAATAAAGATATAAAGAGAAAATATTTTTTTGTAAAGCTATACAATGCATTTGTGTGGGAAGCTAAGTATTATTACAAAGGAGTCTAAAAGTTTAAAAAATTAAAAAGTGCACAAAAAGGCTACAGTAAGCTAAGGTTAATTTATTATTGAGGAAATAAAAATATTTAAAAATAAACTTAGTGTAGCCTAAATGTACAGTGTTTATAAAGTCTACAGTAGCGTGCAGTAAGGTCCTAGACCTTCACGTTCACTCACCACTCACACACTGACTTACCAGAGCCATTTCCCGTCCTGTAAGCTCCATTCATGGGAAGTGTTCTATACAGATGTACCATATAAAAATCTTTTATAAGTACGAAAGGTATAGATTTTCACTACACCTTTTCTATGTTTAAATACACAAATTCTTACCCTTGTGTTACAATTGTCTACAGTATTCAGCACAGTAACACGCTGTTCAGATTCGTAACTCAAGAGCAACCGACTCTATCACATAGCCTAGGTATGTAGTAGGCTATACCGTCTGGGCTTGTGTAAATATACTCTATGATGCTCCCACAATGACAGAATTCCCTAAGGACACATTTTTCAGAACATACCCCTGTTGCTAAGTGATGCATAGCTGTATATCTTCTCCACTTGACTACAAACTAAATGATGATCCAAATGGAATCTATTTTTTTTTTTTTTTACTGTCATATAACTAGCTCTTTAGCACAGCACCTGACACATAGTAGGTACTCAAAAGATGTTTGGAACTTCCTCCAGTATACATCTATATTTATTTTTCCAGCATACATAGAACTTTAGTTGATTACATCATTCATTTATATTTTTATGCATTTAAATTTACTTAAACATTCATTTATTCTACAAACTTTTATTGAGCTCCTAGTATGTGCCAGTGAACATTAGGCCATGTAGTGGTGCCTTAGAAATAAAAGACAGATTCCCTTTTCTTTAAAAAAGAAGACAGAGAAATATAAGAAAATCAGCCTGGGAAAAAACCACCTGGGAAGCTGCTTGAAATACAAATACTAGGCCCCTCCCCAGGCCTACTGGGCAGAGACTCCAGCAACCTATGTTTTAACAAGCCTCCCTGGGAGTCCAAGGCCCACACTGTAATGTGAGAGACGCCTGGTACAGACACTGCTCTACCCTCTTCCCCAAGGCAGATTTCCTCCATCTGAAAGTACTACCAAGTCCAGAGTAAAAACTAACCCAGTTGTAGTTCTGAGGTGCAGGATTCAGTCTCGCATCTGCAAAGCTCAGAGTGGTGCCTTCTTAGATCACTAGCTGACCCCTTTAGGGAAAGCCTGTGCCAGAATAATCCTCTAAGCATTGTTCTGACCTCCTGCTGGCTTCCTGTGGTTTTCCTCTATTTTGTGTCTCCAAAGTCTCATAGATGAACTTACTTAAATTATATGGTATATAGACTTAATTAATGGTAAGGAAAGTAGAATTCACTAGTTTAAAGGGAAAGCAATAGGAATGAATTTAGTACATATTTTCAGCAAGAAGCATGGTGGTGTTAAGTCAGAGACATCAGTTTGAACATATTAAAGGCCATTCTTTTGCTCTGTCAATCTCATGGCTGTTGACTCTAACTTTAATGCATAGTATCTTGAAAATATGTGACTATAATCAAAATGGAAAGAAATGAATCTACATACATCAACATAGATCCTTATTTCCTGAAATATTCGGAACCTACATATACTTACACACACACACACACACACACACACACACCCCGCACCCAAGCACACAATTATTTTTGTTTGTTAGTATGTGGTGTTCTTTTACAAATATATTAATGAGCTATTTTTAAGGTTTTAAAAATGGTTTGCTTTGTAATGGGTGGCCTAAAAGTCTTAGTTTTACTTCTCTGGAAATTCTGACTTTTCCCTTATTGCTCAGTTGTGGTTTTTCAGCGAGGAAAGTTTTGCTATTTTCCAACTTAAAGCAAATAAATTTATCTTATAGTTTGTTCTATTTTGTATACCTTCTCAAAAACACATTTGATAGCAGTGCAAATGCTTTTTGAAAATTAAAATAGTAAAAGTACCACAAGGACTTCAATTAAAAACATCTCGCTTTGCCCTGTGTGAGCTCTTTTCTATTTATCAGGATGTTATTTAAAGTTGGACAATTAATGTAAATGCTCTCTGGAGAACTTAAGTGCTTCCGTGTAGATAGGTGGAATTTCCTAGGAAATTCCAGAGACTATCAATCTATCAGTCTGTCATTCAACAAATGTTTCAGCTGCATGAAAGATACAGCTTTAGATTCTAGGTGCAACTGGAAGTGACACTTAAATTAAATGGAAAAATATGCATGCAGAGTTAAGTTACAGTGTTAATATTAATGATCATTCACTTCTGTGTAGCTTTTTTGGTAAGTTTTTAAATTTTATTGACTTATTTGACAACTAAAAACTAAATATTTGAGGTGTGCAATTTCATGATTTGATGGATATATGTATAATCACCACAATAAAGCTCATAATATATCCATTACCTCAGATAGTTTTCTTTCTTTCTTCCTTTTTCTTTTTTCGATGAGGAGGTGGTGAGAATACTTAAGATATATCCTCTTAGCAAATTTCAAGTTGTATAGCTTACTTAAATTATTTTCTTTCAACCTATAAGGCAGGAAGGGAAATAATTATTATCCCCATTTTCAAATAGAGAAACAGAGGCTGAGGTTTGCAGACATCAAGTGCCTTATCCAAGGTCATGCATCCTTATGCTAAGTGCCAAAGTCATGATGAAGACTAGCTCTTTGGAGTTCTAATACAAGACTTGTTTATGACTTCCCATTGCCCCTTTAAAAAACAAAACAACAACTAATTGATGGTGCATGATAAATGATAAATACAGTTATATCAGAAAAATGCTTATTTTTTGTGGCAGTGATGACTGGGAATTCCCTCCCTCTATGAAGGAGAGAGTGAAGCACTGGGTTTTGGGCCAATTTATCTAAAAGTGAAAGAGCCTGGTCTTGGGGAAATGATCAGTGGTGGAAGGAGGAAATGCACATGCAAGGCCCGCAGTGGATCAGTGTTCTGCGATGATTGAAGGCGCCCTTGGACTTGGATGGGCATCCTGACATTGTCTAGTCCTGACTGTTCATTTCTCAAGATTCTTGTTAGCTGCCAAGGTCTAGTAGGATGAGACCACATTAATGTCAATGAAGTCCAGTCAGTTCGAGACAGCTTTGTTTTTCTACAATTAAAACAATGAGGCAATGACTCTCAATCATGATCTCTTGGGTCTATTTCCCCTGGATACTAACTAATGGTGGTTCCAATTCTTTTAAAACAGACTATATTTTTTTTTTCTCACATGAGTTCACACACACAAATGCATGTGGTTTTGGTCCACATGCATTTCATATGACTCTGAAGTATAGCGTTATTGGTGAACATAAAAGCAATCAGACTTGATTACCGTTCAAGAGGGACTCTGAAAAGAGCATCCACGAATAATGCCCTGGACTCCTGGAAAGCTTGGTGTATCATTCCTTCTTCTTTTTTTTAAGAGCACTGGACCTTAGACAGTAGATGGCAGTGTGAGATGGGAAATTTAAGTCTTGGCAGCGATATGCTTGAAACCAGCCCAGTAAAAATGGCTTTTTGACTTGGAAGCATTTATGAAATGAACTTTCAGTCGGAGTTTTGTCTGACAGCCAGGATTCCACCCTGCGAGGTGTTGGCAACCCACAGGTGAGGCTGTGTAAGTGCTTTGTTTGAACCGAGGCTGTTGCACTGCTCGGAAGCAAGGTGGGGAGCATTTGAGCAAAATCATTGTCACAGAGCCAAGCAAACTGCCACTCAGGTCTCTTGGCACTCCTGTTCCCCCTGGCATAGTTAGAGCCACTCCTCTTTGCCTTTCTGGGAAATTCATTGTGTTTAAATCTAATAAGTAGAAGCTTTGATATATCCAAAATGTTGTTGCTGCTTCAGGTATTTACTTAATCTTTCCTTTCCTTTCTATCCTAAACCCCTTAAAAGTCTGAAGCAGTGAGTGAGGGAGTTTCCAAACTGAAAAGCAAATTAGATTATTCATGGGAGAATTGCTCAATCTGAAAGTACACTATTCCCCATGGCTTATCAAATGATGGATTCTATTTAGAATCTTTAAGAAATCATGGAAAATAGGGCAGTGTTGAAGCAGGTTTGGGTGTCTCTTCTATTAAAGACTCTTGACAGTGGCAGGATTTGGTATCTACAGTTACCTGGTAAACCTGGATCCCTCTAGAACACCTTATAACACGCAGGTGTATTTTAAGCACAGAAGAAGTAGCATAAAACATTTGTTTTACACAATATTCTATTTCATAGAGAAGAGGTTAGAGGATCCTTGCTGCGCATGCAGTCACTGAAGAATCAGAATAGGGTCCATAATGAGTGTATCCTAAAGTTAGTAATTATTCTGCTTCTTGAACCTATCTGAAAACTACATTCCCTTAATTTAGGTATAATTTCTAGACTAGCTAAATCTCAGCTTTTATGTGATATAATATACATTACTTAACCCTCCATAAGATCTTGTTTTCCCAACTGTAGAATGAGGATAATAAAAGTACTTGCTTCATAGAGCCTGTTATACCATAAATATTGCCATTATAATACAGTTTGCTATACAACAAATATTAGCCATTATTATTACATATATGTTGATGAGTGCAGGCATATTTTCAAACAAAATTACTTTCTCTCCACTTCCCGAAATAATTCAAGAGGATAGTGAACACTAGTAATACTCTAAGTCAAACAAAATTAAGTAGATAAGTCTGCTCAAAATATACTGTGTACACAATTAAGTGCAGGAAAATTTAAGACTACCTGTAAAAACACTCATTTTCATCAATATGCTTCAGAGGAGAAGAATAGAATGTTACACAAGCCTCCACACACATACTGTGTATGCGCATTCACATGCCCATATATTTTCATTCATTACTTAAAACAGTGCTTTGGTTAACCAGGTGTGGAGACACATTTTCAGGACAAGAGAAATAGAAGCATGAGAATAAAGTATTGCCAGAAGTCACATTCACCTCTTCTTTTTAACAGGCAGAATTTCTGTTTATCAAGTGAGATTGGGGTCAAAGCTTGAAGGGGTAGAGTGGGCATAAAAATGGTCATGGGCCAGGCGTGGTGGCTCACGTTTGTAATCCCAGCACTTTGGGAGGCTGAGGTGGGTGGATCACTTGAGGTCAGGAGTTCAAGACCAGCCTGGCCAACATGGTGAAACCCCATCTCTACTAAAAATACAAAAATAAGCCTGGCATGGTGGCAGGTACCTGTAATCCCAGCTACTCAGGAGGCTGAGGCAGGAGAATGGCTTGAAACCGGGAGGCGGAGGTTGCAATGAGCTGAGATCGCGCCATTGCACTCCAGCCTGGGTGACAGAAAACGACAACAGCAACAAAACGGTCATAACCATCCTAAAACTGGAACCTTCTTTTGAGAGAGAAGTACCTAAGTTAATCTGGAGGAAAAGTAAGTTGAGAGTGATTGACCTAGTGAATTATGGTTAAGTATCAAGAAGTTACTTCCCAACTCCACTACTTTTCACTTTCTTATATTTTCCTCAAGTTGTTTTTTCATTTCATTTTTTGTTTGTTTGTTTGTTTAATTAACTTTACTAAGGCGATAAGTCTGCGTTCTTTCCCAGGCTCTTCCAGGTTTTGAGATCTTGGGAAATTTACTGAATGTCTCTGTGTCCTCACCTATAATAATAAGAAATAATAACACCCCAGCTTGTTGTGAGATGAGATAAGCAGATACATGTAACACCCACCAGTCCAGTGTGGGGCATAAGGTAAGCTCTCATCCCATAAAAGCCAGAGATAAAAAGGATCATTTGACTTGGCATTTACAGAATTAGAAAACTACATGATGTTTGAAAGAAGCTCAGAGTTAAGCAACGCCTCTTATTTTACAGATGAGGAAACGAATGGCTAGAAAGGTTAAGTAAAGATTGGTAACACTGCTTGCATTAGTCAGGATTCTCCAGATAAACAGAACCAATAGTATTTATTTATTTATTTGTTTATTTAATCATTCATTTATTCATTACAAGGAATTGGCTCATATGATTGTGGAGGCTCAGACATCCCAAAATCTGCAGCCAGCAAGCAGGAGACCCAGGAGAGCGAATGTTGTAGCTCCAGTCTGAAGATCGTCCAGCCTGAGACCCAGGAGGAGCCAATGTTTCAGTTTGAATCTGAAGGCAGGAAAAGACTGATGTACCAGCTCATGGCAGTCAGGCAGGAGCAGTTCCTCTTACTAGCAGGAAAGTTGGCCTTTTTGTTTTATTCTGGCCTTCAACTGATTGGTTCAGGCCCACCCACATTAAGGAGGGCAACAATCTGGTTTACTTGGTCTCCTGATTAAAACATTAATCTCATCCAAAAATGCTTTCACAGACACACTTAGAGTAATGTTCAACCAAATATCTTGGCACCCTTGGTCCAGTCAAGTTTACAATATTAACTGTCACACTGTTATAAGTCTAGTCTATGCCTAATTTTAAGCTTCTAAAACAATCAACTCAAAGGAAATTTAACTGAGCTCTAGTGGTCCCGTTTGCTAAAGTATAACATTAGTGTTTTATTCTAAACAAGTTTAGGCTTTTCTCTTTGCTAAGATAAATTCACATTTTTAAGCTTTGAAAATGCCATATATATTATTTATTTATTTATTTATTTATTTATTTATTTTTGAGGCAGGGTCTCACTGTCTGGCTCAGGTTGGAGTACAGTGGTGTGACCATGGTTCACTGCAGCTTTGACCTCTCAGGCTCAAGCTGTTCTCCTGCCGCAGCCTCCTGAGTAGCTGGGACTACAGGCTCATGCCACCACACACTGCTAATTTTTGTATTTTTGGTAGAGACGGGATTTCCCTATGTTGCCCAGGGTGGTCTTGAACTCCTAGGCTCAAGTGATCCACCCACCTCAGTCTCCCCAAGTGCTGGGATTACAGGCGTGAACCACTGTGCCCAGCCAAAAATGCTATTCTGTTAATAGCTTCTTAGAGTTTTTGTTTTTTGTTATGTGGCCTTAAAGCAGAGCAGATCCATGTGTATAGGGACCAGTCACAAATACATTATAGAGGTTGCCCTCAAACTTCATTTGTACCTTTCTGGCATTAGCTTTCTCTTTCAAATGATATAAGGAGGCAGCAGCATGATGTCTTTGTTCCCTGACAGAGGGAAATCTAGGAATCGGTTATCTGCCTTCAGAGAAGTCTGGAATGAGAGTACAAGGAAACTATGAATCTCACCACTTTGAGAGCCCATTTACCAGGAGGAAATGAATGAGAAAGAGTATGAGTTCAGATCAGCTTGGGAACTAAAGCCATGGCCATGCCTGGGAGAAAGGAACTTAAGGTGAAGACAAAAATCAGTGGGGAAGTATACACTCTATTATCAACAAAAATCAGATGATCAATTTGTATTTATTACAGGACCAGAGTGTACAGAACTGAGTGGCCTTCAAGGCAGCTCAGGGCATTGAACTCTGCCCTTGATTCTTTTGGGTGAAGACATTCAGTGCCACACTACCAGTATGTAATGTTTGCACCTGGCAAAAGTGGTGGTCAAGATCTACCCTGAATTTACTGAAAAATGTCTCCTCTTTTCTTTCTCAACTACTGTGGTTATTAGGCTATATTCTTTCAGTACCTTCACACTTTAAGAATTGTTAATTATTCTTGTTTTTTCTGTTATCATTTATACTGATAAAATGAATTATAAGCCTAAAATAATACATTTCTTGGCATTTTTGGGGTTTGATCATGTTTTTTGCTTAGTTTGAAGAGTTATTGCTATAAAGAATATCATCAATGAAAATATATCTAACATATTTAAATGCTTTTATCTGAAGGGTGATATTTATTTTAATATATTGAAGGTATTTGAGTGTCATTTGGTATTTATTTCTTATCATTGTTAATTTGAATGATACTTATTATTTTGGGGGACCTCATAAGCAATACGCAATTAATACTTGAATTTATTTTAAAAATTAACGAGTATATCCTTAGGTTGGATTGCCAATGCACTTTAGAGTAAATCTTTGAAATGTATGAAGTACTTTTTAATTGGAATTATTTAAACTGAGGTAATGATAAGGGTAATACTATTGTTAATGATCCTTATAAAATTCATTTTTATTTTGTTTACCAATTCCATTTTGGTTCTTAAATTAATGCTCTCAATTGCATACATGCACATAAAATCAGTTAGTTGGACGTCTATAATCAAATGGTAGACTCAATAAATTATATAAACATTTATTAAAATAATCTTATATTTATATTATCATTTTATAATTTTCAAAATGGTTTCATTAATTATCTTTTCATGAATATTATTGTGTACTTACAACAAGAGGCCTCATGTTTTTCGAACTCTATATGTACAACACTGATTACGACATTACTTCTGCCTTTAAAAAACTTATATTACACTACTGTAGACAGATAAGTAAAGAATTATTGATCTGGGAAGACCAGTATTATAAGAGAGGCATAAATAAAATATTTTAGAATCAGAGGATGAAGCTATGAACTGTTTTGGGGGAAATAGGGATGGATCAAGGAAGATTGTGAAGACAATTTAGGATTTTGAGCCAAATTAGAAAAGATGAGGTGTTGCCTAGGAGGAGAAACTGGGTAAGGGAATTCTAGGGAGATGGACCAGCGAGGATGTAGTGTCTGCTTGCACACAGGGTGTTGGAAAAAAAATAGGTAACAATTTGGAAACAAAAGGAGAAGGTCAAGATTTAAATCTAGAAAAAAAGAAAAAAGATCAGAGCTAGATGGTGGAGGGCCTTACAAATTATTCTAGCTATGTCTACCTTTTCCTAGGTAATGGAAAGCCAGTGGAGGTTTAACCCTCACTTATCATCCAGCTACTTTAAGATGCAGGAAATGTAAATGATCTCAAGTTTATGAGATGTCATCCGCTAAAAAATATTAACCAAGTGCTAGCCTTCTAATTTCCAACCCTGTGCAGTTCAATACCTTTCAAATAATTCTGGGTCTACTTCAACCAATGTTCTAGTGAGTCAAGTAACAAATGAAACATAAGTGGCAAGGAGTCAGATTTTTGTCTATTGTGTTTACTGCTGTATCCCCAATACCTAAAACAGCACCTAGTGCCAAATTAGTAGAACCAATAAATAGAAAATATGTATTGAGTGATTATGAAGTATCAGTTACTCTTTTAAATACCATTACTTGGATTAAAGGATTAAAACCGCTATTAGAGAATTGTGTTCCACTTTTGGTACATTATTTTACAAATCATTGCTGGACAAGCAAATAATAATATGATATTGAAGGTTCTGGAGAATATCACCAAATGTGGCCTAAAATGACACATCATGTTGAGGAGATTTAGTTAGAGGAGACTTATCTTCAAATATTTGAAAATCTATCATGTAAAAGAAGTAGATCTATTTTGAAGAATCATCTCTGGAGAGTTTACTTAGGGTCGATGCGTGGGTGCTGTAAGAGTTATATTTTGTTTTAATATGTGAAATAATTGTTTGACAATTTGATTTAACTAATAATAGAAAAAATTAATTTGGGATAAAATAAGCTTCAGTTTACTCATGATATTCAAACAAGAGCTGCAGGGCCATGGGTTCTATAGAACAGAATACAGAGCTATAGGATATACAAGGTTCTGTGAGTCTAGAAGAAGTTGGTAGACCAGACCAGTTGGATTATTTTGATTCAAGTGAGGAGTGTACTGGTCTGTTAACATGTATGTTTGAAAGTAGTTGGCCTGTTTCAAATCAGCTTTGAACATCAATTAAATGGGGAAAAAAGGCTCTTTGGCTTTTTGTCAATGTCCTTTCCAAACCAAAGCAGATTATTCATAGTTTCCTTTAATGTCTTCTCTTCTGTTTATGAGGAATGACTCAAGGGAGGTTTTTCTTTAATTCAAAACAAACAGAGTGTTTACATGATGAATGGATGGCCAATACTTCTATGTTTCCTGAGAATGTTTACTGCCCATCAGGTGTTGTTTTACCTGAACTTCTGGTGACTCAAGAGATGGGACAGACTCAGACCATGGACTCCAACTACTGACTTGCTGCTTGCTCGGTTGCTGATTATGAATTTGCTGAAAAAAATTCTTTATAACGCCTTACAAGAAACTGATAGTTTAGCAAACTGTTAAATTGCAGATGGACTGTAATGGCTTGGGATACTGGTAATGGCGTTGTTACACTTCTTTATCTGGAGGTCCTCTTGCAGAAGCCTCTGAAGAACAGGGACACATTAATTTTCTGAGGATATATGTGGACTAGGGTTTATGAAGCATCATGCTTGGAGAAGACTTTCTTTCTTTCTATTTCCTGTTTTCTCATTTGAGAAAACCTTAATGGCCACTGCTTGTCTGCTCCCATTATTGGCCAAAAGGAAAAGAAACCAGGGAAACTGATGTTATTAAAGAATGTGGACACCTCAGAGAAGGTGACGCTCGACAGCCTTCTGTTCTCCATCTGCACTGTTGGATGTAGAACTCAGGATTCCCTGAGCAGACTCCAGATCAAATGCTGGTAGTGATTTTCTTTCTCTTGTGGTAGAGGGTGAGAGCTCAACAGTTACACAGCCAGAGAGATGGACTGCTCTCATGGTTTAAAGCTGACTTAGGGAAGGTCCCATCTTCTTTAGTACTCTAGGGGAAGCTCTGTTAGATCATCGTTCACGGATTTCTTGACATGAAAACTCAATTTTTATGTGAAGAAATTGTGGATTCTTAATGTCTTCCTTCTGAAATTCCAATCAGGATACACAGAGGAAAAATAGACCTTTGATTTTTAAGATTAAAAAAATAAAGAAGACATCTATTTGGAATAATAGGTTTCATGTTTAATAGCAGAAATTATAAGCTGTTTTGTCATTAAAGCAATGGGTTTATGGCGGGGTGATTGCACTGAAGGTTTATGGGTGGAGTTGTGAAAAAACTTACACTGTGCAGGTAAATTATAAAATCAGCAATCTTTTAAAGTATATATTTTTCTGAGTAGTATTTCTACAAATATAATATTTACTCCTCGGTTCCTACAAATTATCTGCGTCATCTTTTAGATGTCAGATGAGTATTTGGAGGCCTAATGCTTGGCTTTTTATTCCAGAAGTGACTGGTAATAGGTTTCCCATCTTCCTTTGGGGTGAAGGGGACACTCTTTCATGAGTATAGTTTCTCTAAAGTTCAAAATTGTTTGTGAATGTTGTAGTGGCTAGAGAAGTGGGCATGGATTCAGTACGTAGAGGCCCCAATGTCCTCTCTGCCACTAAAGTCACTGTGACAGGATATAAATCATTACCTCTCTGAGCTGGTTTTTTTAGTCAGTTGAAATTTAAAGTGGACCTCGACGGCTCTTAATCTCCCTGCAAATTCTAACATGAATATTTTTATATTGACAATATTTTTTTCTTAAGGCAGGAAAGCCACTCCTTGGGAATAGAGTATATTATATGGCATTTAAAAAAAGAATGAAAGAATGTGCCTATGCCTAGGTAAAATTTCAAGCAAATAATGCCTTTCCAAGTAGCAAAGTAATAACAAAATAGCCTGTCTTTGGAAATACATTTTCACAAGATCTTTTTGGTTTATTTTGTGGATTTTTAATAAATACCTTTTTAAGAAAACATACTGGTAAAGGAATTGGAGAAAAGCTAATGTCCTTTCAGGACATGTTATTTGTCAAAATTATGATTGAGACTTGACAGTTTCCTAACATTTTCTCTTTTAGCTTCTTTTAGAGAGTTTTATTTGCTAGTTTATTTTAGGTTTATTCTCCTAGATTGTTCATCCCAGAGAGGAAAAAATGAAAAGGAATAGATAACTATCTAGACAAAAAGCTCCCCCTTGCCCTCCTAAATGTTGTAATAGTTTCTCATATCCTCTAACTTTTTCAAATATGCCTTTGATTTTTATACCAGCAGTCTATCCTGAACCTCTCATTTTTTTCCCACTCTGACACTGAAAGCATCATTTGCTATTAGTGGACACAGAGTCCCTCTTACTTACTCTTGGAAGAAGCTACAGTACAAGGGTTTAAGCAAACACATGTATTAGGCTGTGTATGGTTTGGAAGTAACTAACAAGCACAGGCCTCCCACAGTTTTCCCTGGGAACCTTTTCTGAACTTCCTCTGTGGCTTCGTTTCCTCTTCACTTAAGTCAAGGCTCTTTCTATTCCCAACTCCCCTGCTCCTCTTTGGTAGTAAATTGTCACTCAGGTGCATGCTCTCATTTGCAAAACCAGAGGGTCACTTGTACGTTGTGATATGTTTGAATCACCTGGTGTTCTGTCATCATTATCTCATGTTGGCACTAACGCCCCTTTTCTCTGCCTTAACTCTCCTTAATTTACTCAGAGTCCAAATTCCTGCTCACTGCATCTGTTTTCACTACTTCGAAAAGAACAAAGTGCTAGTTCTGATCCCCATAGGGGTCAATTACCTTCCCCGTGCTCACCATCACATATTTCATCTCCAACCTAAGCTGCCATTGAACAACGTGGGTTGTTCAAGTCACAGTTAAGGGAAGAAGGAACGGTAGATTGGAGTGAGAGAGAAGGCAAATATTTTGAATAGACTTGTACAAATCCATCAGTGCACCTGGAAAAACTGCACAGAAGAATAGACAGAGCAGAGGTATTAGAATTAGAAACTAGCCTTCAAATCTAGGCTTTGTGGCATATTCACTGTTTGTCCTTAGGAGGTTGCATAACCTCTATACACCCAATTTCTTTATATATACAATGTAGACAATGATGACAATCTTATTGGATTGTTGTAAGGAAAAAAGATAATAGATAATATATTCAAAGTGCCTGGCACTTGAGAGAGAGAAGCCCTACATAAATCAGAGTGATTAGTTTCACTAACACTGCAGTAGCACAGCCTTCAATGTAACTTGACAATTATCCATTGAACAACACCTAGATACTCTAATCTGTGTATTAGAGTTGATAGAGTGTATAAAAGGTATAAATTGCAACTGTTTTTTTTAACCGTCACCTCATCTTCAGCTTTGCCTCCTGAATAATATCCAATACTTTAGCAAGATATTCAAAGTTCTTTAAACTTATCCTCAGCCAATTATTTTTTCAGACTTCCTCTTTTCCCCCTTGCTTCTGCAGTCTGCCTTCTTGACAAACCAGGGGGCTCACATCCATATACCCTCTTGAGTTTCCTTCAGCTGAAGACACCAGGATGAGGCAAATGCTACTCGTTTAAAGATCTAACATAAATGTAACTTTCCCTGTGGAGTCTTTCTGGACCCGGCCTTCTACCCTGCCCTCACAGGAAGGGTGATTTATATAAAGCACAGCATGGAAAGCCCTTCATACATATTGCTCCCCTGTTTTTATCTCCCTTACCTTTCTTGTCTTTCTTACCTGTCAATGTTGTAAGTCTCAGCTAGCAAGACCACTCCTCCTTCTCCTCCCCCTCCTCCTCCTCCTCCTTCTTCTTCTTTTTTTTTTTAATTTTGAAACGGAGTCTCGCTTTGTTGCCCAGGCTGGAGGCTGGAGAACAGTGGCGCGATCTCGGCTCACTGCAACCTCCACCTCCCGGGTTCAAGCCATTCTCCTGCCTCAGCCTCCTGAGTAGCTGGGACTACAGGCGCATGCCGCCACAGCTAATTTTTGTATTTTTAGTAGAGACGGGGTTTCTCCATGTTGGTCAGGCTGATCCCCAACTCCTGATCTCGTGATCCGCCTGCCTCGGCCTCCCAAAGTGCTGGGATTACAGGTGTGAGCCACTGCGCCTGGCCAACCTCTCCTTTAGCAGAGGGAGCAAGAAGAGAATTCGAGCTCCACTACTTATCAGCTATATGCCCTGGACAAGTCGGGAATCTGTTTTTACACCTGTAAATGGGGGTTGTCAATAACTTGTGGAACTGAGCAGATGTGTATAAAGCACCTGGCACATAATGGGACATTGCTTTTTAAATATGATAGTGGCACTTCTACCTGGATTTATGCATGGTTGTGTAAGTGACTGTCACTAGATTTGAGTTCATCAAGGCCAGGGACAACCCTCAAGTATCACTGGATCTCCATTATGATAACAATGCCTAATTACTATTGATTAAATGCACACATGCCTTCATGTCTTTCCTTCTTTTCTCCAGAAATACTGCTCCTCACTGAGGTGGCTCCAGCTGATGTCTGGGTTTCTGTGTGCCTACTTTTCTAATCTCAGGACACCTGCTGTTACTTTTACATAGTTGGTGGCTCTCAATGGTTCTTAAAATTAAAGAGAGAATTTTAAACATCCATAGTTTCTTTCACTTTTCTCCCTTTCCTCCACTAAAAGAGACCTTCCTTTTGGTTCTCTAAGCAGGGTTCATATATTTAACTACATGTCTCTCATGTCACAGAAAACTAAAGTTTTTGTGCAAGCTAAATAATAGGCTTCAATGGAGCAATGTAATTCCAAATAAAGGAAAAAGCCGAATGATTGATTACTTTAGTTTACCATGATCGAAATTAAAGTTCTGAAATAAGATTTGAGCAAAATAAAAAAGACTGCTTTTTGCATTCTGGCTTGGGGAGTTTTATGGTGCTGCTTTGGCTTTTATTTATTTATTAATTTTGAGTGTTAGAGACAATTTTATTAATTTTTTATTTTCTTATTTCCATGGATTATTGGGGGAAGAGGTGGTGTTTGGTTACATGAGTAGGTGCTTTGGCTTTTCAAAGAGGATGGTCACTAATCGAGTGAGAGAATGTGCCAATGAGGACACAAGCAACACATTTGATTAAAAAAATCAAGTATGCTTTCAAAAGATACTAAATGCAGAGTTTGTCTCTACGTCTGACTTGCTCGCGCACTTGAATGGGTTCACACATTTTGGGAGTCAGAATGTCTTCCTGGTGAGTGGAAGCTTACCAGGAAGCTCTAAAAACCTCTGATAGTTTTCACTTGTCTGTTTTTTTGTCAGAGGACTTGAGTTGATTCAATTAATTATGCCCCCCCTCTGAGTTCCATTTTCATCTGAACCCACATGGCAAAGCTGTAAATGATACGTGCAAATAAGAATTCATCTCCGGGGAAAGCCTTCTTACAGGAATGCCTGCTCCCACTTTGTGGGATGCCAACAGTGTGCTGGGTTTCAGGGCTACTACCCCAAGAAAGGAGTTCATCTTGCCTTTTCTCCTTTCAATACATTATATTTTATGTGCATTCGAAGAATAAGGTGAGGCTGTGAAAAAGACATTTCTATTAAAACTAAAATGATAGCTCATTTATTTTATGAATTTTCTTCCATCCTAATAATGTTGAGGGATATATCTTATTGTCTTTACTTTCACCTAGGTATCATCAAAACTCAAGCAAACATCATTCACTCAGCTCAAATCTTTCTAGCTTGTTGTTACATTTCAATTAAACTTATATTTCACAAAAATGAGAATGGAGTGGATTTAACCTCCAGAATGACTCATTTTTCTCTATGGAGATATATTTTTCAAAATTCAAATAAAATATTACACTTGTTTTATAAACAAAGAAAATTGAATGCCAAGCCAATGTTTTTTATATGGTTCATGAGACTTTAATTTTTGGTTTTAGGCAGCACATGTGATCATGACAGAGAGCCTCCTGAGATTCAGTTTGCTTTTGATTTATGAATTTTCTAACTGAAATACCATGGTCATGTAGATATTTTGCTGGGGCCCAGTCTTTCTAAGGAATCAATTTAGAGTTGTCAGTAAATCTTAGGTAGAAAGTGTTTCAATGCACAGTACGTGTTGTAATGAGCTCTGGGACAGGCAAACTGAGGCTCAAACCCAGCTCTATTCCTTGGGAACTCTGCAACCTTAGCCAAGTTTCTTCTCATTTCTGTGTAAATAGGTGTCCTGATGCCTACAGTGCAGGGTGATTTTGAGAATCAGATATTTGACAGTATGCAAAGATCCTCACATTGTGCCTGGCATGTAACGGGATGCAATTGCTGTGTCATAGTGTGGTCCCTGGACCAACAGCTTGCGCGTCACCTGGGAAATGGTGAGAAATGCAAATTCTCAGCCTTACCCCAGAGGTATTGAATCAGAAATCTGCAACTGGGGCCCCAAAACTCATATTTTAAGAAGTCTTCTAGGTGATTCTAATGCCCGCTCAGGTTTGAGAAACTGCCAGAGTGTCTTATAAATTAAAAAACAACATTTACTGACTCAGCTCAATAGCAATTTAGAATTATCCTAGAAACTTAGTACGTAAGGTGGCTCATACTTATTTTAAACATAACGAGAAGGACAATCTTCCTTATAAATATAAAATCTTCAGATACAGATAAAATGACTGAAAATTGTTGATAGTTTATTATTTTTCTATGGCTGATAAAAGGTGCAGTATACCAATTATCTTATTTAATCCTCAAGACAACCTCAAGGAAGAGTTGCTATTAGCAGCCATACCTTACTAAGCAAGTAATTTGGACTACAGAGGACAACTGAACAAAAGTGATAGAGGTGGGCCTTCCATTCTAACAAATTTCAGAAATTTAATGCGTAATCCCTAATAGAAAAATAGTCTATGAAATCAAAATGACCGTAGAAGTCTTCTTAATTTTGATGAGATTACTAAACAGATACAATTTCATTCCAATTTTTAAGAAAGTGCTAGACTTCCCCAAAAAGTCTATGAAAAGAGCTTTCCTCCCTATTCTGGGTCATAGCAAAGTTTTTCACCTTCTTTCTGGAATTTATCACAACCTGTATCATTTATGAGTGTTTACACACACACATACACAAATACAAACATATATATTGCTAGAAACTTCATGAGGGCAGAAGTCATATTTGCCTTCTGTTCTAAACATGTAGCCCAATGTTTAGAACAATGCCTGGAACATTACTTGAACTCAAAAATTATTAGTTTAATATAATAAATGAATGAGCAAATCTCTACTGGTGCTGGTAAAAATTTCAGAGACTCACGGCTTTGGAAAACAGTCTTTTCTTTAGTCCTGTTAAACTGAAGAAACTGGCTGAATCTCTATTTAGAAAGCAGATAGATTCATTTTAGTAGCTTTAACATTAACATGGCCAACACACCCACAAGTCATGAGATCAATGTGACATTCATTCAGCCATTAATCATAGAGACATACGTTTTGAAGTTGAAAAGGACCTTGGAGAACATCTAATCTCTCCTTGTGCAGATTGGGAATTTAGGCCCAGGGGTTAAGTGGTTTGTTCAAGGTTAAATGCTGATCAGGCGCTAGGCTGGAAGTGATGCTGGAAATCAAGGTCGGCTGATTCTTGGCCCATCACTTTTCTCACTCTAGACTGTCTTCATTAAGTGTACTGGCCCTGAGTGCATATGGGCATGTAATATCTAAACTGCAGTCGCACCCTGGATCCTTCTATAATGCCATGCTTAATGTGAGTGACAAATGCAAGTGGAATTTTCTTTTAAATTGGCTTTGCCACTAACAATCTATGTAGTCTTCAGCAAATTACTTTAACATCATTGTACCTCAGTTTCTTCATATCTAAATTTTGAAAAAATAATAGTTTCTACTTCACAGGATTGTGAGGATTAAAGGAGATGAATTGTGTAAGGGGTTTAGAATGGTTCCTAACATGTAGTAAGCTCTCTGTAAGCGTTAACAATTCTTACTAATATTATCTTGGGTAGGAAAGTTTGCTATGGGATATTTTCTTCTGAGTTGGAGTGATAAACAGATAAAAAGTGTAACTGTGGCTAACAGTGAGTTTTCATAGAATTCAGATAAGCAAGATTTTCCCAATTTCTGCCTGTGACTAGATGAGCAGGCAGTATTCTTTCTTGCTTTTTAGTCCCATTTGACTCTTAGAACTGGGACTATCAGTTCATATTATTTATTGAAAGTTTCGTATTTGAGAAAATTTGACTAAGCACAGCAGAGCAGGGTACATAGAGTGACCTAAATTCTTACCAACAGTTTTGGATTATAAGCACAAATTCCATTTGAAATATGCAATCCACAAACAAGAAATCCATGTGGTTGAAGTTATATGGTTGATACCTGAAGAAGAGAAGTTCAGAGTCTTTTACTTAAGTATGCAGTTTATGATGAGGAAAACAAATGAAGGTGAATCTTGTTTGAGAACAAAAGACATGTTTCTGAACATTTATAGAAATTAAATCTCAAAAATTCAGATTTAGGTATTGCTGTAAATTTGTTTATTTACTAAAAAAATCACAGTGGAAATACATTATAGTTTTCTTTCTATTCTAGAACTAAATCTACTTTAATTTGATTGAACGATGAGGAAAATACCTTATATGGAACATTGTATATAGGGCATAGTGGCTCATGCCTGTAATTCCAGCACTTTGAGAGGCTAAGGTAGGAGGATAGTTTGGGGACAGGAGTTCAAGACCAGCCTAGGCAGCATAGTGAGACTCCAACTCTGGGAAAACAAAAATAACTTTGTATATAATATACAGTATATATAGCATACATAGTGTACATATATTGTGTATATACATACCTGTCTACATATACACACATATAAACAAACATATATACATATATAGGCACATATGTACACATGTTTATATTTGTGTCACATTTAAAATGCATCTATGCCCATTACAAAATAAAATTGTAAACTGAGCTGAGACAATGAGTTCATGTCATTCACTGATCGCTATGCATTTAGATTTACAGCAAACATAATAGATTGATCGAGTCAAATTGGTAGGAAACAGGCTAAGGCACTGTGGTGGCATTTGCCACTGCCATTATATTCTTCTAATTAGGGGATTGTAACTACTTAAGCCATTTACAAGATGGTCAGTAAGAGCATTCACATGAGAGGAACTTGGTACACAATGGAAAATGTATTTGGAACACAGAATGTTTGGTTAGAATCTGGCATTATTCTTTTGCTTTTAAAAACAAAGAGACATAAAAACCAATTTCTCTTGTTTGTCATAGGATTTCTTTCTGCGTAATTCTATGTAAATCTGACTTCTTTTTGGGGACCCCCCAAATGCACACTTACTTCTTATAGGCATATCTTGTTTACATTCCAAAACAGAGAAAAGGCCTGTGTTGAAGGCTGCACTAGCACAAAGTGGAAACTTCAAAACTGCCTCTGAAGCTTCCATTAGAAGACGGAAATTGTCAATTATCCATAATTAATATTTACTGAGGACTCAAGGGGACTTAGCAGCTATGAGAGGATGTCAAACACTCCCACAAAAAGTTATGTTATTTCAAGTTAAATATAGATTTTCCTGCACAGTTTTCCCACTAGTACCATATTTTTTCATTCCTTTAGAAATCTAGTTATATATTTTTAAAGAAGGGTTAACTGTATAGTCTTTAACTTGTTTCTTTTTTACTTCTCCCCGCGGCAAAAAGAAGCAAGGACAACAAAAATAAAAGTTTTTATGATCCTGCTGAATCAAGGTACTAAAACATGAGTTAAATGAAGAGGCGTGGTGGTTTTAATGAAGAAAAATAAAACAATTTAAGCGTTGCCAGGTGGAAAATGAAACAATCTCTTTATATGGAATGTGTAGAAAGGGATGAGGCACAGGGATGTTTTGGAAGGCAGTTTCCAATGTCAGGAATTTTTTGCCATGGTCTTTGATCTGCAGGCCAATTTCAGTCTTGGTCTAAAAGAAAAAATGAAGAGGAAAACTATTACTTGCTTTAATGAAAAAAGTCTCAGTGAACCAAGACTGACTATGGAAAAACAGCCAGGAGAAAGGATGCTGATTCAAATAAACAAAACTTAAAACCAAAAATCGGAATGAAACTAAAATCTCCCAAACACACATACACACACACACACACACACATATCCCCCAATTCCCAGACATCACCACCACCAATTGCTTAATATGCTGTCCATACACAACTATATTATTATTTAGTATCCTCTGGCTACAATTTCTTTTTAGTGAGTAGTACTTCTCTTTCTTTCCAGGCTTAAGACATTAGTGCTATCTGATAACTTTATTATCTACATAATTCAGCTTCTAAAATTATGTGAACAATCACATGCCTAGGAAACATGGCCCATAGTAATTGATGTTTTTCATTGTCACTCTGCTGGTAGAATGTATTCTGATTTTGTTGCATGGACTGGCTTTTACAAGTAAAAACCACATTGATATTAAAGAAAAAGTGGCAGGAATGTTGTTGCCTCTCTTTGGTGCCCTGCCACAGACAAAGCTGACTTGGGCGGCTGTGTCTATATCCCAGATATATGGAATTCTGGATAAAACAGGGCTTGTTTAAAACAAAACAAAGCAAAATATTTGGCTAAGCTCAAAAACAGGAAAAGGGAAATCTTGAGTTGCCAGAAAAAGAAATGCAGAGTCACGGAATTGAACCACAGCCTGCCTGGGGTGTTTCAGGGCTTTCAGGCTGGATATTTTTCTTAGGTGTTTGGGTTTCCGTACCAATGGGTCTAAGACACTGTGGGATGTGGAAGTGTTGTTTTATCTTTTAACCTGGATAAAACCACTACCAAATCTAATGTCTAAGGGAGTCTCCTGGAAGCCATGCACCCACCCTTAGTTATAGATAGAAACAGAAGCCCTTGTGAGAAACTAGAATTCCATGCTACTGTGAATACAGGTAAAAAAGTTCTATAAAATGGACAAGAAACTGATACCATAAAACTGACACATCACCCTAAGCTAAAACTGAAAACCAAATGCAACCAACAGGAAAATCCTCTTGAGACTGCAGATAATAGAAAAATCTGAAAAAGAACTTAAATGGTAATGTTTAGAATTTTCATAGATGAAGAAATGGATTGTATCTCTGTTACAGAAACAAAGAAAGCAGATTGGAAAGTGAAACAAATATAAATTTTAAGAGTGAATTTAAAATTAAAAACTTAAGTGAAAAATATATTAGATATATTTCTACCAATTCTGAAATTAGATATATCGCAAAGGGTGTGGGTAGGGGAAGTAGAAAGCAAACTACTATTTAGTGAAGAGTAACTTAAACCCAATGAACCAACAGTTTTTCAGTTGAGGGCTTTCTCCTTAATTTCTTATGAAGCCATTTAGGCAACAAACTTATCTAAAGTATTTATTTCCTTTACATCCTTCAAATTCTAAAAATAATGATTGATTTGCAAACTTTAACTCATAGCATTATTTTATTGTTTGTTTTATTTATTTTTATTTTTTTTGAGACGGAGTTTCTCTCTGTCACCCAGGCTGGAGTGCAATGGCGCGATCTCGGCTCGCTGCAACCTCCGCCTCCCAGGCTCAAGAGATTCTCCAGCCTCAGCCCCCTGAGTAGCTGGGATTACAGGCACCCGCCACCATGCCCGGCTAATTTTGTATTATTAGTAGAGACGGGGTGTCACCACGTTGGTCAGGGTCGTCCTTCTGTCTTGATCTTGTCTGAGAACTGAGCATGATTTCTTTCATTCTACAATGCCATAAAAACATACTCAAGAGCTTTTTGCTCATAAATTCTTCAGGCGTTGTTTGCCCGTTATTTTCTAAGAAGAGAACCGAAATAACACAAATCCTACTCTGCGTATCCTTATTCTATTGTGCCCATTTTTATAGAAAAGGTTTCTGCATTACCCACATTCAGATCTCTATTGCAATCGATGTTAAACACGTCACTCTAAAATAGCTAGACTGTAGGCAATTTCGTTTTCCCGGCTATTTTTCTGTTTGTTGTTGTTTTTTCTTAAGGCACATACCAGCGGTCTGCTTTCACTTCTCTGAATATTCATTTAGCCCAGAGGTTCACTCTAAGCAGCCGTAATGCCACTTTCTCAAGACATCAATAAATCTGATATATTTTGAGTATTTATCTCACAGGCAATAAATATCGTTACACAAACTACATTTCATGAATTAGCTCAAATTACATTTGGGCTGCTTCGGAGCTGCAGAGAAAGGTGCTAAACATTTGATACAACACAAAATTATATTTAACTTCAAGGGAGAACAAAACTTCTGATTCTCTCATTAAAAGTAAAGGTGAAAAATCTGTTTTTTTCTTTTTTTAAATCAAGTCGTTTATTTTCATTTATCTGTCATTTTTATTAAAGGACTTCATAGTGATGTATGTTTCCTGAAGTTTAGGTGTAAATTAAAATGAGTCTATGTGTGTAAAAGTGTATGATTCATCTTGTAGATGGCTTATTGCCCACTGTTGGTTATGAACTATTAAAAAGAAAGTGAAAAATTGGGAAACGTTGGTGCAAGCTTGACTTTGGCACACTTTACCTCGCTTCCTTTTATCTGTCTTCTCTTTTGCTTATGGGGGTGTTTTCTGTTTCACCACAGAACACTTCAGTTGGTGATACTGGAATAGTGAATTTGCCTGCTAGGTGGAAATTTAAAACTTGCTGTCATTATGCTTTGCTTCACTGCGGAAGAGCTTCACAGTTTTTCCCCACCAACTTTTTCAGTATATGACCGCCAAGGTTGTATTGTGAGACATTCTCTTCAGAATAAAATTTAGCCTCTGAATCTGGGGGAGGTGAGCACTATGTTGTTTAGCCAATTTACTGAATTTTCTTGTTTTTCTTTTCCTGATATCTGGAGCCCTCAAACCAAAACATTAGCCAGCAGGCATTTCCCAGAGAACAGGAATTCAAAAAGGAGTTCTCCGTGATGTAGTGTGTGCTCTTTGCAATTCGTAGGACTTTTATAATCAATATTTTCCTTCCTCTTTCACGATGACACTCAAATAGAATGACAGTAATGAACTAGCAAACTTGGATATGAGACTACCATGTCCTTCTAAACTCCATAAAAAGTAAACATAAAAATCTTAATTGATTTTACTGCAGTTCAGTCAAATTGCACGTTGTGTTTTTTTTTCCAATAAAGTAATGAAAATTTGTTGAATGTCTACTGGGTGAAAAGCACTGTGCTTGTTGCTGAAGAGGAATCCCAGCACACGTTACGTGTGGTCCTATGTACATCAGCTTTGCTGGATGTAGGGGCCTCTGCATTTTACTCTGTGTCTATGATTGAGAAAGTCATTCTACTCTGGGAACAATAAGCTCGTCATTTGGGTATGAGACTTTAATTATCTAATTGAAGAGCTCTGACTCAGAAAGCAGATATCCATAGTGGGGATAGCTGTAGGTTCCGACCGTCTTTAGCATCCTTGCCCGTCATTTTAAGAAAACAGTGATGAGCAAAACCTGCAATCAGAGGTGTTTACAAATGGCCATTGAGAAGATTGAATGCTATTGTGAAGAAGTCTTTGGGGACCCTGGGCACAGGCTCTTGCTGACTTTTTTTTCTGGTATAATTATGACACTATTATTATTGAATTATTATTGATATAGTGATACCAATGTTATATCTGGTACAATTGAATATAATTAGTATTGACTTAATTATTATTCAACTGGCTAGTATTTATTCTTTTTCTATTGTGTGAAAGAGTTTATATAAGAATAGGCTTCTTTGCTTCTTAAATGTTTGGAAGAATTCACTGGTGAAGATTTCTCAGCCTGGGTATTTCCTTTGGGGAAATATCTTAATAACAGACTCAGTTTCTTTTGTAGATACAAGCCTATTCAGATTTGGTATTTCTTCTTGTGTTAGTTTCTTAGTTGAGTTTTTTCAGGAATCTGTCTATTTCATCAAAATTTTTTAATTTATTGGCACAGAGGATATTGGCACAGTATCCTACACTTTTAATACTTTAAAAAATATCCATAGGATTGCTATAATGACTTCTTTCTCATTTCTGGTATCCATGATATATTTCTTCTCTTTATGACTTCTTTTACTTTCATTAGACTTAAGCTGGTGTACACTTTTCTCCTTTAAGATATGAATATTTAGATCATTGATTTCAGCCTTTTCTTTGACTGTCATCTAAAATGCATGTATACATCTTGTAATATTAAAAATATAGTATTTATGTGCACATATTTATTAGATCTTTAAATAAGAAAAATAATGAAATATATTTATTCACATATTTGTTTATATATTCATTTATATATTTAAATGCTATTACTTAAAATATATAAATATATAAAATAATTATAAATATATATTTATTATATTTTTACATATATTTATGTCCGATATTTATATTTTATTCTGTTTTATGTATTTTATGCATACATCCACAATTATATAAATATTCATATAAAATGTTATAATATGTGCATACTTAAAATATATAACATATCAAAACTTGTGTTAGACAAGGGAAACATTTATTTTCAGTCAGTCAGGAACTGAGCTGCTCTGGGTCAGGCTGCGATTTTTGTCAGCCTGCTCCTAACTCATGTCCATACTGCTCCAAGGGTTAGTCCCCAGAGATTGGGGGTGTTTACTCAAATCCCCAACTCCTTGGTGGGTTCTGAACTGCAATATTTATTTCCTAGGCCCTGTAAAACTGCTGAAAACTCTGTTTTAATTTTCAGAGTCTCAGCTTAGCTTCTTAACCTCTTGCTTCACAGTTAAAGAATTTGGTGAAGACCTTGACCTTGAGCTCACTTGTTCATCCTCCCCTTTTCTACAGGATGTAAGCTGCCTTGAGGCCCTGAATTCAATTTTTGTCTCTCCATTCCTGTGAAGCTGAGACACTCAGCTGGCCTATTGGCCTCCTGGCCCAGGTCTTGACCTCAAATTTTTCACCTTTTACCTAATGCCAAGAATCAGCAACTGCTCCAAGGAAAAAATGGGTCTAAGAAGTAGGCTCATCTCTCCTTGGTTCTCCTTTCTACAACATCTTGGCCCCTCAATTCCTGGTTGTCTTGGCGGCTTTGTGCTGCTTTCAAACTTATAACTTTGTGTTTTATCTGACTTTTCTCATTGTTTTTGACAGGGGTTTCATTGTACTCCTGTGTACTCAACATAGCCAGGAGTGGAAATCCTGGCATGAGTAACAGAATTTTTCACTCAGCATTTCTGTGTGGTATTTACAGTGCTAAGGTCTCTTTTTAATTAACAGAAGATAATTTTATTGTCTTGTAATTATAATTTGGATTAATATTGTATTATACATAATAGTAAACATGCATTCTCTAAGTGTATAAATAAAGGGTTAGAAAATTTATTTGTGGGTAGATTTCAAAAATATAATACACTCTCACACTTATAAGTCCAAATCTGTGTTTATGAAAGCATTCTAGCTACAGAACTAATTTTATGAAACTAATTTTTGTTCACAATCCATATATATACTTTTTATTTTGGGTTTTTATTATTGTCAAAACAATATTATTATTAACAAGTCCTATTTCTATTCCAGCATCACTTTCAATAAGAAATGTAGTTCAATATGGCAATGTAGTATATTAGTTTATATATAAACCAGTACCCATTAGAGACATTGATGTACAAATTATTTATTCATGCTATTTTAAAATGACAGAATATAAATAATGAAATATTTACTTCAATCACTGATTTTTAGTATAATAATTCATTAAATATACCTCACCTGTATAAATGGGGTATCTTTTAAAGGCTCGTTGACAAATGTTGAGGTCTCCAGAAAAGTGATAATGTTAAATCAATCAGATTTTCAAGCCAATTGGATATGAACCTAGAATTTGGAGGTAAGACTGATGGACAAAGATTAAATAGCTCTGTGTTAATCAGCCAGTAGCAAAAGCCCTGCTGCCTTTGAAAAATATTGATTAAAGCTGATTGATGGACTTCATGGATGGAAAGAGAAACAGATTATGGGAACTGGATAGATCAACTCATGAAGCTAGGCTCATTCATTAGGGAGACGTAAATAAAGTCATACTATTTATACATGCTGTCTGATTCGCTTCAAATATGTTTTCAATAGTTTTCTATCTACATTGTGCTGAAAACATATATGCTGAAATAATATCTTTATGCACAGAAAATAGAAAAAGGGGAAGATAATTGCGCAGTTGTTCCTTTAAGCCAATTAAATTCCACCAGAGGGAGATACCTCTTTGTGCTCCCAGATGCTTGCCCTGTGTGTTCATTCATCAACATAGAGCTCTTAGTTTTGCCATTTCATATGACATCAATGGGGAAACTGCAAGTAATTTAACTATTAATATAGCTGCCATAGCATTTCAAGTACAGACAACACATTATTATTACGTATACACTAAATCAATCAATATAGATCTATTATGGAGCATGTATGGACAGAACGTTGCACAGACACTGGGGAAAATACAAAAGAGGATCTTAAAGCCTACTGTGTCCACTAGGAACCTGTGCATACTCTGCATTCATACCAAAACCCCATCTTGGCTCTTAAGACTCTTAGGGAAATTAGAGCCTAAACTTGAGATTTGAATACTTGGTTCTACCTGTCCTTTCTCTCCAACATATGACGCCATTTTCCATTGCCAAAGAGAAGCAGAGCACTGAGGTCATTAAATTCAATCGTATCTAAATCGCACAGTCTGATAAATCACAGGGCCCATTTTTTTTTTGCCTCATATGTTCATTAAAGGTCTGACCACAAGGTGATGTTTAGAAGAGTGACAGAAATGAGTTTCTTTCTTTTCTTTTTTTTAATTTCTTTGCAAAATTACTACATATATATATAGTTGAATTCAATTTCATATATAATGAGCAACTGAGGCTTATCACAAGAATGCAAGGTTGATGAAACCTTTGAAAATTAATTTATATAATTCACCATGACAGACTTAAAGAAATAAAATGAAAAGCAAAACATATGACCATTTTAATAGATGCAGAAAAAGTATTCGACAAAATCTAATATACATTTCTCATGAAAACTCTATGACTAGAGGAGAACTTTTTCAATTTGATCAAGGGCATCTACAGCCAACATTAAACTTAAGAGTTAATTAGTTAACATGTTTCCCTAAAATCAGGAAGAAAGCAAGGATGTCTGCTCCCACTACTTCTATTCAACATAGAACTGGAGGTTCTAGTCATGCAATACAGCAAAGAAAAGATATAAAAGACACCTAATTTGTAAAGAAAACAAACTGTCTCTATTCACAGTTGATGTAATCATCTATCTTATGAATCTACATAAAAATATTAGAACTAATAAGTGTACGTATCAGATCATTATTCAAAAGTTTATTGTATTTCTTTTTTTTTTTTTGAAGTTGCAGAACCATTTATTACCTTGCATGCTATCACAGACCTTTTTTCTCAGTTCATTAGAAGCAAGTAGCTTGTTCTCAGCCACGGTCAAAGGGAGGGAAATTACACTCCACCTCTTTTTTTTTTAATTTTTTAAATTATACTTTAAGTTCTGGGATACATGTACAGAACATGCAGGTTTGCTACATAGGTATACACATGCCATGGTGGTTTGCTTCACTCTGATCAAAAGGAGAAAAGGAGGCTTTATAAGATCTTTCACTTTGTAAACAGATATGTACATGATGCAGTTTACTGACCTCCTCCATGACTGCTACTCTGTATAAATTTCCACTACTCACAAAGGGAAAAAATAGACCTCCTGTTTAGAAAGCTACTTTGGCTATTGTAAACTTGTGGTCTGGCTAGGCAAAAATTAGAAACACCGGAAGACAAGTTTCCTGAGCAGTAAGGAGGAGAGGCTTTTCTTGTCTCTTGCGTCTTATAGCACATCTAACTTCAGGATGAGCTGTGGGTGCAACCACTGGAGAGGTGCAGAAATCAGTCTTGTAATCAGCTCTTCCTTCTAATGCCTGCACAAGCCCTACTCATAGCAGTCTCTACAGCCATTCTCTACCTTTAGTTTCTTCTCAACACCCACCCCTTATACTTGTCCAGAGGAGAGGACTTAGGTCTGGGGGACCGCAGCTAGAAGGATTTCAGTGAAAGCAATGCTATTTATTATACTGATGTTTAAGAAGAGACAATGGCCTAGAAATCAGGGCCTGGAAAAGTAAATAATAAAGTTCAAGAATAGCATACTCATGTATGAGGCAGTTTTTGAGTCTGAGATGACATATTAGGTAAATAAAATTTGCATGAGTTTTCTTTGTTAATTCAAGTTGCTGGTGGCTGGCCAGCAAGTAAGTAGAAGTGTTAGGCAGAGGACAAGCTAGTTCAGGAAGTTTCTGTGGCAGGTGAGTTTGTAGTGGACTGAATGTTTGTGTTCCCCCCCACAAATTCATAGGTTGAAATCCTAACTCCCAATGTGATGGCACTAGGATGTGGGGCCTCTGGGAGATGACTAGCTCATGAGGATGGACTCCTCATGAATGAATATAATGCCCTTATTATAAAAGGGGCCCCAGAGAGCTCTCTTGCTTTCTTTCCACCATGGGAGGACATAGGAGGAGGATGTGATCTATGAACTAGGAAGCCCTCCCCAGACACTGGATCTGCAGATGCCTTGATCTGGACTTCTTAGCCTCCAGGATGGAGAAATGGATGTTGTTGTTTAACCTATCTACTGTGTAGTATTTTGTCATACCAACCCAAATGAAGTAAGACAGAGATATTTTTTAGAGACAGGGTCTCTCTATGTTACCCAGGCTGGTCTTGAATCAAACCCCTGGCCTTAAGATACTTTCATCTCAGCCTGTCAAGTAGCTGGGAATGTAGATGCGTGTCTGCAACATAATTTAAGATCAAATATTTACTGATTACTTTTTAATAAACACTTGAATGGAGCTTAATTGGTGCCATACTCTGTCATAAAAATGAAAAATATTAACTAATAACAACTCTAGGAGTTTGGTTCTGTTATTGTCCCTGTACTATACAGGGAGGAAACTGATAAATCAAGAGGTTGAGTGACTTCGCTGAGGCCCGTGACCAAAAAGTTGCAGGGCAGGGTCTTCACTAGGCAGGCTGTTGCTAACCTCCTTGTGCCCTGAAGCACTATGCTGCACCTCAAGAAGGGTCGCTTAACCAAAAATTAGGGGATAGGTTTTGCCTTCAATGAGAACAGAGACAACTTCTCCCAAGACTGGCCATTTTGGGAGCATTTGCTCAGCTTTGCGCTTGGGAGTGGAAAAAAGGATGGAATCCTAAAAAGGAAATTTCAAGCATCAGATTTAGAAGGGGGAGGGTGAAAACAGTTGTGGCTGAAAAGGGAGCCCACTAATGGAGTGACAAGATAACAGAGAACCCATCACTGACAGAATTTTTAGAAAACTGGAGTCCCTGGCATTTTGACCTTTGGCTGACCTAGGAGTGGCTCTCGTGGGAGAGGCACTGCAAGGCAAGTGGAATTACAGGGTGAAACATTTTAAGCCAAAAAAGCAAAATCTGGGGAAAATAAAGCAGCCCTGAATGATCTAGAAGAAGAGGCGTGGGGCAGGAGCTGATGGGAGGCGCTAGGATTCCTGCTGTGGCAGGCTCTCGCAGGCACCCTCTGCCACTACCACCTCCTTTCCCCCATCCCTGATCCTCTCCGGCCTCATCTGTTCAAACCACCCATGTAGCTACTGCAGCTCCTCCCTGGGGCAGCCACGCTGCAAATACTCCTCCAACCCCCGATGACTTCTCCCATCCACACAGCCTGAACTTAGCTTCATGCCGCAATGGTTACTTTTCAGACAAATAGAGTCATGAATCACTTGACAAGAGGGATGCGTTCTGAGGTACATGTCAGGTGATTCCATCATTGTGTGAGCATGAACACCATAGTGTACTCACACAGACATGGGTGATGTAGCCTACTGCACACCCAGGCTATGTGGTAGAGCTACAAACTGTAACTCTCCTAGGCTACAAACCTGTACAGCATGTAACTGTTCCGAATATTGCATGAAATTGTAACACAATGGCAAGGATTTATGTATCTAACATAGAAAATCTACAGTAAAAATACAGCATATAATTTTATGGGACCACTATCGTGTTTGTGGTTTGTCATTGACAGAAATCTTATGTTGTGACTGTATATGGATACCTAAGCGTGCCTTTTCTAATTTCTTAGGAGGGCAAGAATTAAATTTAATTCAGTGAATATAAAAGAACAAGTCTATGGCAGTTGGATTCATAAATAATAACAAAACAACAATGTCATTTATATTATCATTCTTATTGTTATTAATACATCACTAATACTTGGTAAAAAGAGTCAGACATGTCACCGTTAATCTTTACAGTAACCCTGGGTAACAGGCACACTTCCTATATTTAAATAAGAAGACTAAAACTTAAGGAGTAATTTGCCAAGGGTGGTAAGTAGGTGAGCTAGGATTTGAACTCAGACTTATCTTATTACAAAGCCTTTGGTCTCAACCCCTAGGTTATATGAGTTCAGATACAAATTTAAATTGGGACTCATAAGAATACACATGCAGGAGATACATGTAGTTAGGTGAAATTGTTAATTATTTCTACCTATATGAAGCTAGTTTTTACCATTGATAAAACAGGGATGAGAATTACCTAGCTCATCGGGTTTAAGCTAAACACTGTTAATGAAAATGCCTTATAAACTCTGAAGTGTAAATAATTACAAAATGCTACTACATGGATTGATAATGGCTATGGGAGGCAGACACGCACATACGTATCCTTACACATACATATATCAGCATGAGGTTACAGCTTGCTTGAGTGACTGGGCAAGCCATACCTAACCAGTCAATTAGTACACTGAAAATCCATGTGCCATTCATATATCTTAGGTACTATTGTAGAGAAAACAAATAACAGAAAAAATTGTCCATGAAGTATCGGATTAAGAATGAACAGCTAATGAATTGGAGGAGAAATCAAGAGGGAACAAACTTACAAAAAGAGTTTCCTAACCATCTAGTTTAATGAACTCACCAAAACTTTGAAAAGAAAGTGGTAACTGAATTATTTCATAAGAAAACATTTGAGACATATTTTGAATTCTTATCAGATTTAATAAATGTGAAACCCTAGGATCTTGTAGTTTTCTTGCTAGCAGTTGACATTAATGAACTTTGGACAACTCAGTGCATCACTGTATAATATGCCTTTTCCTCCAATGTAGAAAATCTTCAGATGAGTCCATTTTAATTCAAAATTTGTGTATCCAGTGCTTTTTGTTTATTTATTTAGATTTCCAGGGTCAAACTTCTACCACTGAAAGTAAAAACATAAACATCCAATAAGACCTTTAATAAAGATAACTTGTATTTATACCTTTAATATTCTGGAGCAGAATTTGACACTAAAGATTATTTACCTGTGTCCAGCTCAACACCTCTGCAAGTAAATCACTCACCAATAAACTTGACTTCCCGGACTGAAGGCTGTGGGGAATGGGTTACAGGCGATGTGAATCCGCAACGGCAAATGTCATGGATGTTTGCTTGTTGCAGCTTGCCAAGCTGACCCAAATCCAGTGGAGCCTTTGCTTTCCTGCTAACCACCATTTTTCCTCGCCACTTTCCTCTTCTCTCCCCTTTTTTTGGGTAGTGTAAATGTATTTCAAAGCAAAAGTTAGTATTCAAATTGTTTTCTGCCAAATCCAGTAAATCTAACAAATTTTGACTGATGCCTGCTAAGTGCAAATGGTAAGAGCAGCATGTGAATCTGAAGATTTTCAAAAAGGGATTCTGCAATTAGCATGTGGTCCTGTATTCTTCCAGCAGGTAGCAAAAAAGAGAAACATCTAACAGTAGGGTTTACATCTCAACAAATATCAAGCAGACCTAAAATATGCATTAGGATCTTTGCTTCCCTTTATGTCTGGGAGTGATCTTGTAAGTTTCCTTCCTGGGCATGGAAGAGAAGAACGCTCCTCTTCCCAGGGAGACGTGAAGGCCCTGATGACTGTGGCATTGCCAGGGGCTGGCTGTGAGGCAGGCAGGAGCCAGCCCTCATTTGGTACACACTGTCTATGTGCACTATGCTGCAGAAACCATGCAGTGAATAGACAGGGAAGGACAGATTTGCAAGCTGCATGTGGAACTTTATGCCTTGTAATTCTGAACTGTGCCTCTTTGATTCTTAATATCCCCTTCTGAAAATATGGTGAGTCACTGCCTCTGACCGTGGCCTGTCTGCTGCTACACTGTGAAACTGTTTGAATCTTGGAGGAGCAGAGGAATAAGTGCCATGTTGGTTTTAATTAAATTTTGAAAAAGGCTCAACCATATCCTTCTTTTTCCTTCCATCGGGGATTCTACAATTATTAAATTAGGCTGGTGGTGTCTACTTTCAGAATCATGAATTTTTACCAGCAGATAATTTCTCTTTTTATTGTTGGATATTTTCTTGGTGCATTTTACGGCTCTCATCTTTGGCAGAGCTAATCTGGTTTTCGTCAGCCACAGTTCTGCTCGTTAATCCATTTATGGATTTTTACATAGTTTCTCCTTGGATGGTAAGTGTACTACCTCCAAGGATTCCTTTCAAGCCACTCAGTAGAGCTTGCTCCTCTTTTCCTCTGTCCATAATGTGTGTTCATATCATCCCTGCCATGTTAGCCTTTTGAACATTTCATTTCAGGGCCTGGCTGGAATGCTGTTAGAGGAACATATTCATAAAGTGGGCATATTTCTAAACAGCTTTGTATAAGTTGACTTATGTATATTTTTAAAATGAATGTTCTCATTTGTCTAGAAATTTACCCAAGCATTTATAGATCTCTTTTTCTATGTCTGGTACCCTGCTAAGCACAGTGAGGGATACAAACAAATACACACACTGACCCACCCCCCGACACATACCCTCAAACTGAAAAATATAATGCCATTTTTGAATTCTACCAAATGTCAAAAAAAGAATTAACCTCAATCCTTTTCAAATCCCTCCAAGAAACAGAAGAAGAGGAAATATTCCTAACTCTTCATATTAGGCCAGTACCCTGATACCAAAGCCAGACAAACACATCACAAGAAAAGAAACTACTGCCCATATCCCTTATGAATATAGATGTGAAAAAGTTCAGCAATAGTGAGCAAACTGATTTCAACAGTATATTAAAAGGATTATACCACATGTCCAAGTAGGATTTATCCTAGGAATATGTGGGTGGTTCCACACATGAACATCCACCAATGTAACATACCGCATTAATAGAATGAAGGAAAACAAATGAATATAGGTGCGAAAAAAATAGTGAGCAAGCTGATTTCAACAGTATATTAAAAGGATTATACCACATGTCCAAGTAGGATTATCCTAGGGATGTGTGGGTGGTTCCACACGTGAACATCCACCAATGTAACATACCACATTAATAGAATGGAGGAAAACAAATGTGTGATCATCTTAATTAATGCAGAAAAAGCATCTGATAAAATATAACACTGTTTCATGATTTTAAAAAAAACACTCATAACTAACTAGGAATAGAAGGGAACTTCCTTAAACATGGTAAAGGATATTAATGAAAAACCCACAGCCACCTCATCCTTACTGATGAAAGGCAGAAAGCTGCCCCCACTCACATGATCAGGAATGAAACAAAGATGTCCGCTGTCACCACTTCTATTCAACATTGTACTGGAAGTTCTAGCTAGAGAAATTAGGAAAGAGAAAAAAATAGAAGCCGTCCGTTGGAAAGGAAGAAGTAAAACTATCCCTATCCACAGATGACATGATCTTACAGAAAATTCTAAGGAATTCACCAATAAAACTATTGAGACTAATAAACAAAATCAGAAAAGTTTCAGGATACAAGACTAACATATAAAAAATCAGTTGTGTTTCTTTACACTAGCAATGACCCATCAAAAATAAACTTCAGAACATTCCGTTTACAATATCTTCAAAAGAATAAAGTGTTCAGAAACAAATTTAACCAAATAACTACAAAATTTGCCCGCTGAAAACTATAAAATATTGTTGAAAGAAATTAAAGGAGACCAAAATAATTACAAATAGATCCTGTGTTAATGGAATAAAAGACTTAATATTATTTAGGTGGTGGTACTTCCCAAATTGGTTTGTAGAGTCAATGTAATCCCAGTCAAAATCACAACATTGCAAGGAACCCCAAATATCCAAAACAATCTTGAAAAGGAACAAAGTTGGCTGACAGTTCTTAATTTCAAAACTCAATACAAAGCTATAGTAATAAAAACAGCATTGTATAGGGATAAGGATAGAAATGCAGATAAACGGAAGAGACTTCTGAGTCCATAAGTAAACCATATATTTAAGACCACTTAAGTTTTTTACATGGAAGCCAAGATTATTCAATGAGAAAGAATAGTCTCTTCAACAAATGGTGCTGGGACAACTGGGCATCCACATGCCAGAGAATGAATTTAGATTCTTACCTTACACCACATACAAAAATTAACTCAAAGTAGATCAACGGCTTAAATATAAGAGCCAAAATTATAAAAGCCTTAGAAGAAAGCATTAGGGTACATCTTTATTACCTTGGATTTGGCAATGGTCCTTAGATATAACACCAAAAGTACGAACAATAACAAAAATATATAAACTGGACTTCATCAAAATTAAAATCTTTTGTACATCAAGTGACACTTTCAGTCAAGTGAAAAGATAACAACAGGATGGCCAAACACATTTGCAAATTATATATCTGATAAAGATCTATCATCCAGAATATATAAATAGCTTTTAGAATTCAATGACAAAAAGGCAAATGATCCACTTAAAAATGGGCAAAGGGCTTGAAAAGATATTTCTTCAAAGAAGATAAGAATGTCCAAAAAGCACAGGAAAAGTTGCTCAACATCATTAGTCATTAGGGAAATGCAAATCAATACCATCAGCAGATACCATATCACACCCACTAGGATGACTAGGCTGAAAACACTTCAAAAGTGTTGTCAATGATGTGGAGAAATTTGGACCCTCATACGTTGTTGGTGGGAATGTAAAATGATGCAGCTGCAGCAGAAAACAGTTTGGTGAGTCCTCGAAAATTAGACACCAGTATTACCATATGACACAATAATTCCATTCCCAGGTACATACCTAAGAGGTTTGAAAACATATATTCAACCAAAAATATGTGTACAAATGTTGATAGCAGCACTATTCACAAGACCCCAAAGGTGGGAATGATATCCAGGAGCTAATGAATGGATAAACAAAAAAAGATAGATTCATACAAGAAAAAATTATTCAACCATAAAATGAGTGTGCTGCAACATGGATGACTCTTCAACACATTATGTTAAGCTAGAGAAGCCAGACAGAAACAACACATGTTGTGTAATTTCATTTAGCTGAAACTTCTAGAAGGTAAATCTATACATACATAAAGTAGATTAGTGGTTGGAAGTGGCAGAGAGGAGGGGAAAAGGTGGAGTGACCGGTTAATGGTTATGGGATTTTCTTTAGGGATGATGAAAATGTTACAGAACTAGATAGTCGTAGTGGTTACACAACATTATGACTGTATTAACAGCCATAAATTGTACTCTTTAAAATGGTGAATTTGTATTATGTGAATTTTACCTCAATAAAAGATTATAAAAAGTGTACCATTTTCAAGTAGTTCTAAACCTAGCTGAGATGGAACTAACATTCATGAAAAATCAGGTAGAGGCAGTTCTCAGCACAGCAGTGTGAAACCATAGAATGGCTATGCAAGCTGAAATTATGGAAAGAGAGCTTAATCATCAGTAGAAAAAATTAATGGTGCTCTTGCTTAAGAATTTGTTAAAACCTTAAGAAATTTTATACTGCAATCAGAAATGACATTACAACTGATAGCACAGAAATACAAGAGACTACTTTGAACAACGCTGGGCACACAAGTTGGAAAATTTAGAGAAGATATGTATAAATTCCTGAAAACATACAACCTTCCAGGATTGAATCAGGAAGAGATTGAAACCCTGAATAGACCAGTATTGAGTTCTGAAACTGAATCAGTAATAAAATCTACTAACCAAAAAAAAGCCCTGGACCAGATGAATTCACAGCCAAATTCTACCAGATATACAAAGAGGAACCCATACCAATACTACTGAAACTATTCCAAAAAATCGAGGGATGAGGGAGCTGGCTCCTCCCTAACTCATTCCATGAAGCCTGATACCAAAATATGGCAGAGACACAACGAAAAAAGAAAACTTCAGGCCAATATCCCTGATGAACACTGATGCAGAAAAATCTTCAACAAAATACTAGCAAACCATATCCAGCAGCACATAAAAAAGTTAATTCATTGCAATCAAGTAGGCTTTATTCCTTGGATGCAAAGTTGGGGTTGGTTCAACGTATACAAATCAATAAATGTGATTCACTACATAAGCAGAATTAAAAACAAAAACCATATGATCGTTTCAATACATGCAGAAAAAAGCTTTTGAAAAAACACAACACTCTTTCATGATAAAAATCCTTAACAGACAAAGAGTCATCTACAACTTAAGTGCCATCTATGACAAACCCACAGGAAACATCATACTGAATGGACAAAAGCTGAAACCGTTGCCCTTGAGAATTGGAACAAGACAAGGATGCCCACTCTGTCCACTCATATTCAACATAGTACTGGAAGTCCTACCCAGAGCAACTGGGAAAGAGAAATAAATAAAAGGCAGCTAAATAGGAAAAAGAAGAAGTCAAACTATCTCTCTTCACTGATGATATGATTCCACACCTAGAAAACCCTGAAGACTGCACCAAAAGGCTCCTAGAACTGATAAATGTCTTTAATAAAGTTTGAGGATACAAAATCAATGTACAAAAATTAGTAGCATTTGTATACACCAATAATGTCCAGGCTGAGAGTCAAATCAAGAGCACAATTCCATTTACAATAGACAAAAAGAAAATGAAATACCTAGGTATACAGCTAACCAAGGAGGTGAAAGATCTCTACAAAGAGAACTACAAAACATCACTTGAAGAAATCAGAGATGACACAAATAAGTAAGTAAAAAAATTCCATGATCACGAGTTGGAAGAATTAATATCATTAAAATGGCCACATTGCCCAAAGCAGTTTACAGATTCAACATTATTTCTATCAAACTACCAACATTATTTTTCACAGGCCTAGAAAAAATTAGTCTAAAATTCATACAGAACCACAAAATAGCCCAAATAGCCAAAGCATTTTTAAGCAAAAAGAACAAAGCTGGAACATCACACTACCTGACTTCAAACTATACTATGAGCCTACAGTAATCAAAACAGCATGGTACTGGTACAAAACAGACACATGGATCAAATGGAACAGAATACAAAACTCAGAAATAAAGCTGCACATCTACAACCATCTGATCTTCGACAAGGCTGACAAAAACAAGCAATGGGGAAAGGACTCCCTACTCAATAAATGGTACTGGAATAACTAGCTAGCCATATGCAAAATGAAACTGGACCCTACCTCTCACCATATACAAAAATTAACTCAAGATGGGTTAAATATTTAAATGTAAGACCTAAAACTATAAAAATCCTAGAAAAACCCTAGGAAATACCCTTCTCGATATTGGCCTTGGTAAAGAATTTTTGGCTAAGTCCCCAAAAGCAACTGGAACGAAAACAAAAATTGACAAGTGAGAGCTAATTAAACTGGAGAACTTCTGCACAGCAAAAGAAATTATCAACAGAGTAAACAGAGAACTTACAGAATGGGAGAAAATATTCACAAACTATTCGTCCAACAAAGGTCTAATATCCAGGATCTAGAAGCAACTTAACAATTCAACAAGCAAAAAACAAATAACCTCATTAAAAAATGGACAAAAGACATTAATAGAAACTTCTCAAAAGAAGACATTTGAGTGGCCAACAGACATATGAAAAAATGCTCATCATTACTAATCATCAGAGAAATGCAAATCAAAACCGCATTGAGATACCATCTCACACCAGTCAAAATGGCTATTACTAAAAAGTAAAAAAAATAATAATAATAATGGATGCTGATAAGACTGTGGAGAAAAGGGTACACTTATGTACTGTTGATAGGAATGTAAATCGACCACTGTGGAAAGCAATTTGGAGACTTCTCAAAGAGCTTAAAACAGAGCCACAATTCAACCCAGCAATCCCACTGGAAAAGAAATCATCCTACCAAAAAGACAAATGTACTCATATGTACTCTGCTGTGCAATTCACAACAGCAAAGACATGGAATCAACCTAGGCGTCCATCACTGGTGGATTAGAAAAAGAAAATGTGGTATATATACACCATGAAATACTATGCAGCCATAAAAAAGAATAAAGTCATGTCCTTTGAAGTAATATGGATGGAGCTGGAAGTCATAATCCTAAAATTAATACAGGAATAGAAAACCAAATATTGCACATTCTCACATATAAGTAGAAGTTAAATATTGAGCACATATGGAAACAAATATGAAAACAATAGACACTGTGGACTAACAGAAAGGGGAGGAAGAGAGGAGGCGTGGGTTGAAAAACTACCTATTGGGTACCATGCTTGCTACCTGGGTGACGAGATCCATACCCCAAACCCTAGTATCACACAATATACCATGTAACTAACCTATATATGTACACCCTGAATCTAAAATTAAAGTTGAAATTAAAAAAAAGAATTATTGTGTTGTTGATTATAAGCATTTGCAAATGAAATAAAAATAGTAAAGCTAATATTTACTTACTGTGGTGTAATTTAAATATTAAATTACATTAAGAATTAAAGATTTTTTAATTAAAAATGTATCTAGAGTTGCTTGAACAGTGCTTGCCTTTGTTCTTTTTGTATAGCTTCTACTATGGAGAGCTCATGTTCTCTATGCCTTGGCAAATTTTCATGCTCTTTTCTCAGTTTGGGTCAGCTTCTGACATTTTATCCTTTGCATTTTCAATGCCATGAATTATCTGTGAAGTTGTTTTCTTTTGCTTTGTTTTGTCAGCATGTTCATCCTTTTCATCACAACCACATTCTTCTTTTGTCAGTAAGTTTGCCCTCACTAAGTTCCTCTGGCTGCACATCTAGAATCTCCAGAAGGGTGGCAGCATCAGCATTCCACGATCAGCTATTTCTTCTAGGACTCTGTTACCGCTGATCCTACTTTCATTTTCAATATTACCACTTTTCATTTTTTGTTACATTGTCACGTAGGTTGACTAATTTTCTCTTTTGATAATCCACATTTGTAAAATGTTACTTGGAGTGATTGGTGAGAGATTAAGAGTCAACACAGCTACCCACCTTGCTGTCTCTGTGTGAACTGGTAACAGAGGCACAGTGACCAATTACCAGCAGACTCTGGAGGAAGTGACATGGTTGTGCACTGATCGTGATGTAGATCTTTAACTAAACTTGAACTAGAGTTAGCAGCATGGTTTTTCTTCGTGCAATTACTCACAGTTAATATGCCATGGTAGCTGAAATTGGAACCATGTTGTTGGGGGAATTGATTTTATTTAACTAAATCAAGATAATTGTAATTTTGAAAATTGAAGCTATGCAAAATTATGCAGTATTGAGTAACATTGAAACAGAATTTTAGAGATTGTATTAACTAGCTTTTAAATGATGAGTTGGATTTATTTAAGGATTAAAGCATTTCTTGTAGAACAACTGAATGAACATAGGTATTGAGGAAGGAAGAGACATGAGGTGAGTGGGTCGGTGAGCAGATTTACCTGAATATAAAAGAGAAAGTGCACTCTTACCAGTGGATGAACAAGAAAAGGTGGATTGTGGCAAGACTTAAAATGTAAAATTGGCAAACATCCTACTAAATTATTTTGATAACTTTAAACAGGAAAAACATCCTACTAAAATGAAAATCCATGCATAAATGCTTAATAGAAGCAGAAAACTTGAGTTTTTACCTACCTTGAATGTGTTCCCTATGAAGGAAGTGTTGGAAACTTAATCCCTAATGCAACAGTGTTCGGAGGAGTTTAGGTGAAGTGGAACCCTCGTGAGTAGATTAATGCTGTTATAAAAGGGCTTGAGGCTACTGTTTAGATCTCTTTCTGTCTCTCACCTTCTCTTTGCCCTTCGTCCATGGGATGACACAGTAAGAGGGAGCTTGTGAGATGCTGGCCCCTTGATCTTGGACTTCTCAGCCTCTAGAACTGTGAGGCAGTAAATACCTGTTCAGTGTAAATTATTCAGTCTCAGGCATTCTGCTATAGCATCACAGAATAGTCAAAGACAGCTTTGTTGCTCATTCCATTTCCAATCTTTGGATTTTTGGCAAGTCATGGCCATGAGTTTCCTCATTTGCAAAGTGAAGGTACTCATATTTAGTCCAAATGGCTGTGTGTGAAGGTTCTTGAAAGCTGAGAAAAACCTTCTGACAGTGTCTGTTCTTCAACCAATATTTAGTATGTGCCTGCTTTGAGACAGGAACTGGGCTAGTCATTTATGTCACAGAGATGATAGGGAATCATCTCACACACTGTAAGGGTTGGAGATTGGGAGGAGTGAATCAACATCGAGACCCAAAAATTACCAAACAATTTGGTAGGTGCTATTAAAGAGGTCATTACAAATAGTAGAAGAGAGAGTAATCGTGATAAAATATCACAGCATTTACAAAGAATTCTTTGGTAGCTCTTTACAGAATAAGTTAAAGAGGGAGGGACATCTAGTGTTAGGAAAGAGTTTGTAGCTCTACGTACTGATCCTGGGTCTAGAGTCAAACCCCTGAAACGAGGCACAGAAGGGGACTGAAAGAAAATTTGGAATTAAAAAGGTCAAGATACTGGAAGTCCAGAGAGTTCCATGGATCATTGCATACACAGTAAAATTCCCAAGAATAATGGCAAGACTAATCCTCATTTTAAAAGATATATCATGTAGAAATTATGTAGAAATTAGTTCTTGTTAATTAAGAGGACTGCCTTCAATCCTTGACTAGTGATCCTAGCTTGAAAGACAGATTTCAATAGGCAGTAGGTGTGTTCGTCACCTGCAGTGTGCTGCATCAGTGCTTCTCAAACTTTAATATGCACGGGAACCACCTGGAGTCTTGTTAACATGCAGATGATGATTAAGTCATTCTGGAGTGGGTCTTGGGGTTCTACATAGCTAAAAATCTCACAGGCAATGGCCATGTTGCTAGTCCACCAGCTTGGCTGCATGGTTGCAAGGTGCTACGTTTCTCAGTGTTACTTGCAAGTTTAATCACTTCTCAAAGCCCACTAAAGTGCTGAAAACAATGTTTTACAATCTTTGTAGTAATTATAATGGAAATAAACTAAACTAAACTGTTTTCATTTATTATTTTCTAATAATAAACCAGATATAAGAATCTTAGTTTCTTAAAATGTTTCAAATTATTCTGTTCCTCTGTTATTTTATTTTATTTTATTTTTATTTTTTAAGACAGAGTCTTGCTGTGTCACCCAGGCTGAAGTGTAGTGTTGCAATCTTGGCTCACTGTAATCTCTGCCTCCTGGGTTCAAGTGATTCTCCTGCCTCAGCCTCCCGAGTAGCTGGGATTACAGGCATGAGCCACCATCCTTGGCTAATTTTTGTATTTTTAGTAGAGACAGGGTTTCCCCATGTTGGCCAGGCTAGTCTCAAACTTCTGACGTCAAGAGATCCACCCTCCTCAGCCTCCCAAAGTGCTGAGATTACAGGCTCAAGCCACGATACCAGGCCTATTTTTTTTTATTCATTACAAATATGGAAATAGTGATTTCTTATACTCGGTTCCCTAACAATCTTTATTGAATATCAATAAAAGGGACAGTTGCAGTGTAACAGGCTACTAATATACGATTCCCCTTTTCTTATAATAACTTTATTTGCCAGAGCATTTGAAGTAACAGACAAAAAAGTTATAGGTATTAAGTTGAGTAAATTTAACTTTAAAATGATGAAAATAAACAAAAAGAGAATACTTAAAATTTTTAGTTTTGTAAGACATTGGTTCTTACTAGAACTGTTGGGGTGGAAGAATAAGTCACCTAGCATTCAAAAAACACTTCTATGCATCTTAAATGCAATCTTGACCCTAAAGGTGATTTTATGAATCACCTGTTTTTCATATTATTAGATGCATGTAGATTAATATAAATAGAATATTAGTAGTAAGAGTGAAATGTTATAAAAATTCAAAAGACGGAGCTGATCAATTCATTTGAAGGAATCAAAAACCAATATGTGAACAAGGTTCCGTTAGAAATAGACCTCAAAGGATGGGAACTATTTTCTTATGATATTTTAAAAGGTCATTATAAACTCATGACTTTTTAATAAATTTAATGTGCTGTGATAGTTTTTAGATATTACCCTTTTTGGCAAGCAGAGCCCAATCTTTGGCAAGTGGGAATTCTTTCGGTTGCTTCCATCCCCTAATGGGACCCTAGTAATCTTTCACAGCTTTGTTGCTCTCTGATCAAGATGTCTGGTCTGTGTTCATCTTAAATATTTCTTGCCCTAGACTTGGAATCATCATGGCAACATGGCAAAAAAATACATATATATTTTAAAAATGTAGATAGTCAAGGAAACTTTGAAAGGCAGAGGAAAGAATGTAAGTAAATAGTGAAGGCGTTTATACATATGGTTGGTTGAGATAGGGAAATGCTTCTGTGAGTCTGGCTGTAATTGGAGTAAGGAGGTGGAGAGTAGGCGATTGAAGGCAGAGTGTAAGGATGGGGAATTGGTTCTAAACATTTTTGGCAATAATAAATTATCTTATAATTGTTATTTAACTTTTTTAAACACATGGAAGACTTGATTGCAATTAAATTTTAGCAAGGAAGATTTAAAGATAGTATGTTTGATGAGAAGATGTTGCAAATAAATCAATTACAGATTATTGCAATAAATTTGAAAGTTGACAAAAATTGCAGGGGAATTGGGCAAGATTGGTTAGATGTGTGAGATTTTTTAGAGGTAAAAGACACAATATTTGGCTACTTGGTAAAAATTAGTAGTCAAAAATACTAATGAAACTTTGGAGTCTGAGAAAATAGTTTTCAATGGACTTTTGAAAGACAAGGAAGAATAACTGGGCTTGTGGGGACACTTTCATTTGGAAGATATTAAGTTAGGTAGGCATCCAAATATTAATGGCCAAAGACCAATGGGAAACTGAAGTCTGAAGCTGAAGGGAGAAAAGAGAGAGAGATTTGGTAGTTTTTGATATTGAGACTGCAACAAATCCATAGAACAGCATATTAATTTGGGAGATTGTACAGAAAGAGACAAAGATGGCTTATTAGATAATCTTGCATAATCTTTATCATTAAGGGGAAGAAAGACTATGAGGTATTGCTGAACAGGATTAAGAGAGAGATTTCATAGAGTTAGAAACAGTCAAGATAGTTTGGTAACATGCAAACTAAGAAGAGAGGTTCTCGAGGATGAACCAGTACTCAATTGAAAGATTGAATAAAAGAGGAAATTGGGAAAGAATAAATCTTAGGTTGCAGTTATGCACTTATTAACTCAATAAAGAATGTGATATGGATAGAATACCTTAATCATGGGACTGACCACTGACCAGAAACTCTGTACCTGAGTTAGGAGAGTTAAGAGGTTGAAGTTGGAAAACCTTGTAGCCAAACAGGACCTGAGAGATGATGCACCTGGAATGGTTTATCATAGGGGAGCCGTTAACTAGACATGAGCAGTGCCCAAAGGCCAGATTCAGGATGCTAATAGGTGGTCAAGAGCTACAGACAAGGCAGACACAAGCGGATTCCCAGGACATGAAATGAATAAGCTAAACCATGTCCAGAGTGGAGAGAGATCATCACATGGCTGAATATTCTTTAGTCATCCTTGGGTGCCACTTTTCAATAGGAGCATGAGGTTCTTAAGCACAGTTTGGAAGTGATGGAGAGGTAGCCAGCTGAGCAGATGAGAAACTAGAATTAGAACAGGTAGTTTTGCAAGATTTTTTTTTTTCAGTGAAGGGAAGGAAGAAATAGAGGCTTTAGGATGAAGTAGGTTCAAGGAAAGACTTTTATATTTGGTTAAAGGAGAATTGAGCATATTTGTAGGCAGAGGAAAAGCATTCTGGAAAACATAGGGGATATGAGGATGGAAGTAAGAGGAAATAAGTGTCAAAAGAGATAGAAGAAAAAAACAGACAACAGAAAAATATAGGCCAAACCAATTAAATTTTCCAAGTACTGGGCCCATTTTCTCATATGGTTTTCAAGATGCTATTGTGTTCATTATCACATAGGACCTGATTAATGAGTAGTCTCAAGTTTATTTTAGTCTATTCGATTGGCAACTGGCTTGGATTCTAGGTGACATACAGGAAGATTTTTATTTACAAAGCTGGCACCACTTGATCTTTATTCTGAGGAAAGGCATGTGGGCTGGTTGTACAGTAGTGATGCTGGATTTGCAATGAGGCAACAGTAATTTCTCAACTCAATTTTCCTTTAGACCATGGCCAAAACTATATTTTTCATATAGTTGCCAGAAAATTTTGGTACACTCCATAGCTATGGAAGAGAGAAAGCGGAACTGTCCCTGTGAGAGGCTGAGTATGAACACCAATCTTAGGAGCAAGATGTCATAACCACCAGGCTGTTTCTCATTGGGAAATGGGAAGATATATTTTCAGGATCACACTTTAACGACTCTTGAATATGTCAGGTAGAATCATTATTTAGCTAGTACACAATTTCCAATTAAACTAATTAATTAAATGTCATACTCTTTTTCTATGAATCATATATCCTGCAGGCAACCTTTCAGATCATTCCTCTTGACATTGGATTTTAATTTAACCACTCAAGAAATGGCCGTCACCAATCAGGTTGCAATATTTACCTATCCAGTTACAATGGGTGGTTCATCTGGCAAGAATAAATATGCTATTGAAAAACAATTTCACAAATGACAGTTATCTTTTTTCCCTAAATTTGACTTTCTATGTACCAGATGTTTCCATTCTGAATTTCTGAGAGAGGAAAACTCTTTTTATTTTATTTGTTTTTCCACCAGCTTGATGAGATGTATTTCATGTGCATCCTGGTGTCAGAAATTACTCATTCGAAAAATAGTAGTTGTATATGTTCGCTCTAGCAGGTATATAAAATCCATTGAGGAAGGTGGAGACCTCAGACACCTTTTAAACTATCTGGTGATCTATAGGAACCCACTAAGGATATAAAAATAAAAGACTGAATAGGGCAGTCTTCTTCTTTCACTCACTTTGCTCATTTCTCTTCAGTGGGTTGGAGCTGAAGCTGGTAGTGGGGTTAATTCCTTGACTGTTCTGTCAAATGTTAGGCTCCAGTACACATACTTGTGTATATATGAACAACTGTTTTTTAATAACCTGCCAAGAAGCTATAATCTTCCATTGCGGTCCCCTGGGATTTAATTAGAATGGTTTTCCACAGCCTGACATGTTTATGGGGCATAGGTAAAGAGACAGTTCATAAAACTGTCAATTTCCTGAGAAATTAAAGAAAAATTGGGCTGCTTAGTGCTTTGGCAATTCTGTGCTGCTGATACCAGCATTGCAAGCAATGAAATCAAGGGAAACATAACAAGATACTGATGCATTAGATATGGGCAGGTTAAAAATAATGTACAAGGGCATTTGTCAATTTGAATGCATAAAGAAGAAAGTGGAGAAAGTAAACCATAAACTGGAGTAGCTTGACTTTGGGGTGTTTGGGAACGAAGTGAACACTGAACAATAGTTTATTTGCATCTGGAAGATTTATTATTTTTCTTCTTAATAGACATGATCAAGAAATGAATTCTAGGGAGGATGTAGTCTCCCTAGGGGAATGATAATGTGATAAGCAGTGCCTTCATTTGGGAATTCTTCATTTAAACTATTTTTGCCTCCTTTAGGTAAGTAAAAGTTATTAATCTTACACAGACACTGTCTTAAGAGAACCAGGTCTGTTGAAACAAACGAGCCAATGTAAACTGGTCAGGCCTCTCTTTGCACTCTATCTTTAATCAACGTGTCCACTCTCTTTTACCCATCCTTCTCTGTGGCAGCTACTCATGATCACAACACTGAATTTGCTCAGGTACTGCACCCAGCCTGCAGTAGGAAACAGAGCGATGTGACAGCAAGCATGATCTTGAGTATTAGACACAGTCAAGGAGTGTTCTTAGGGTTACTGGGGAAAGACTAATATTCAAGGAAGGTCTGCTTTATCTCAGGGACCGTACTGGGCAATTTTTGTGCATTTCTCCATAGAATTCTCTCAACGACCTTCTGAAGTAGGTATTATTTATCTCACTTTACATATGAGTGAAAGGACATATAGAAATGTTAAGCAATCTGTCCAAGATCATTCAACCAGGGACAGGTAGGCAGAGCTAGGATCAAGGAATCATTATCTATGCTTTTTTTACATAATATTATATTGCCTTTTAAAAAAGTAGTTATAAAATGGTGGAATATGTATAAAATATGTACATTTGGAGAAAAGGAAGTCCAAAACATTGAGTGTTGCCAAAATAGCAGTGATGTGAGAAACAATGACCACCCTGTATATGCCAAAAGTCCCCATGATGGCAGATGGCTGGAGCAGGTCTCCCGGAGATGAGTGACATCATTATGCTATCACTCAGTACAGGGCTGGGGCTGGTAAAAAGCAGGGATTACATGCTGGAGGTCGCTGTGGTGTTCTCATCTTGTTCATCAAGCGTTTCATCCCTACCACTTAAGTAGTCGAATTCATGTCCTGTGAGTTTTAGTCATCTATACCTCTATTCATTTACTAATTTAATGTTGTTTTCCAGGCATGGTGTAAGGAACTTGAGCTCAAAATGAACTAAGACACAGTCTTGTTCACACAGTGGAAGGTAATAGGCTTTAGAGTTGGATGAATTTGGGGTCAAGATTCTGACTCTGCCACTTAGTAGCCATATGACCTTGGCTATTACTTGACCTTGATATTACCCAGTTTTATCACAGGAAAAATGGGGAGAAAAAATACTTATTTCAAAGTTGGATTGATATAAAAATTATTCATTTTATCTTTTTTCTTTTTCTTCAAGATCCCATAAATTAATGGTACATGTAGACATAGTAGAAACCAAAAATGATATTTTATTAAGAATCAATATGAGAAGAATTAATGGATTATTTTTGGATGTTGAAGAAGTCTTTGCAAAAGTCAACTATTTGAACAGCATAAAAAGATACTTGAACAGCATAAAAAGAATATTTTCAGATGGATACAAAGGAGGAAGGCAGTTTTTAGGTATTCAAAGGAACGCGGGCCATCCATGTTCTTGAAACACAGTGTGTGTGTGTGTGTGTGTGTGTGTGTGCGCGCGCGCGCGTGCGCGTGTGTGTGTGTGTACATGTGGACCTGTGTGAGTTAAACAGAAGTGGTAAAATCGAAAAGCATCAGAAGTTGAAGATAGGTTGAGTCCCAAGAATAAAAACTCTCTTACACCAACACTTTTTTTCTACTGGAATGGGAAGACACTAAAAGAATTTTAATCAATAAAGCTAGAAGAAAAGATTTGTATAACTTCAACAAGTCTTTCTCTTTCTTTCTTTCTTTCTTTCTTTCTTTATTTCTTTCTTTCTTTTTCTTTCTTTCTTTCTTTCCTTCTTTCTCTCTCTCTCTTTCTTTCCTTCCTTCCTTCCCTCCCTCCCTCCCTCCTTCCCTCTCTCTCTCTCTCTCCCCCTTTCTCCCTTTCCCCCTTTCTCCCTTTCTCTCTTTCTTTCTTTTCTTTCTCAGAGTCTCTTTGGCCCAGGCTGGAGTGCAGTGGCACCATCTTGGCTCACTGCAACCTCCGCCTCCCAGCTTCAAGTGATTCTCCTGCTTCAGCCTCCCAAGTGGCTGGGATTACAGGCATGTGCCACCACGCCTGACTGATTTTTGTACTTTTAGTAGAGATGGGCTTTCGCATGTTGGCCAGGCTGGACCCAAGCTCCTGGCCTCAAGTGATCTGCTTGCCTCAGCCTCCCAAAGTATTGGTATTACAGGCGTGAGCTACGGCTCCACCTCAACAAGTATTTCTAATTGATGATAATAGTTTAGTTCTAAGCCACTTAACTTATGTGTTCATGTCATTGACTTTGTAGGTAAATAAAGCTATTAATTTTAAATATGAGAAACATGTAAATAGTGCTAGCAAAAGATATAAAACTGATGGGGCAATCTAATTAATCTCTGAGTTAGTTCCAATGACAGAATCCTATTGAATTGTACAAAGAATAAATTTGAGTGAAAATAATTTGTCGAATAATACACCCTATAGCAGAAAGTAGCCTTGGTTTAAAAAAATTTAGAGATTTATACCAAACAGGGACAGCATAAATTGATAAAACCCATAGCATAGCAACCATGGTCTAGCAACACAGTTTTGCATAACTTCCAAGAAGACTGTCAACACTTGAAATTATCTCCAGAGTTAAATGCCTCAAAGTTATAGTCCATGTAAAGTCATAATTAATGCAATGTTATACTCACAATTTTGCAATGATACAAACACTTTATCATCCTATAACTTCTTTACTCTAAGGATCTAAAGTGATTTGTAATCATTAACTAATTAAAATTCTTACATCATCCCAAGATAAACTAAATGGTTTGTTCAAAACTCAATACTGTCTGTAAAGTAAGTTTGGTCTGCATTTTAAACTATTGGATAATAAGTAAGTGGTGGTGAGAGGGAAAATAAAATGCATTTATTTGGGATTGATCGAGAGTATTATATTAACTTATTTTTTCAAAATGTACTAAGATTATATGTAATTGTTTATGTGTGCCATTTCCAGCAAGTATGACAGAGCATTTCAGAGTTGTACTGACTGAAGGACAGGTGATTCCATGGAATAGTAACTCTGTATATTAGGTGCTGTTAGGAGGTCACCTATCTACATTTAACAAAGAATCAAATTCTTTAAGAAATGTTTTAGCTTCGATAGGTGATACGAAGATAGGGACAAAAACAGTCTTTGTAATGGTCCCCCTAAAAAGAAGAATTTGATTCTGGATGTACAGGTGTATTATATTTACTGTTCTATAAGTGATTCATTAGCAGTTCTATGTTCTAGTATATTTTATTATTATTTTGTAATACATGGCCAAACGTGAATTAGTCTTTATAACTTACTTTGGCACATAAATAATGTAAAAGCATGTGTTCAAAGAATGTTACTATTGAGTTCATTTCAAACAGAAATTTATTCTCCCCTCCAGAAAAGTTGTCTAGCTTGTTAGAATTATTTAAGAAAAGGCAAACCTTGGGAAAGTTTTAAACTGCTTACACTGCTTATATCTTTTGTTTGTTTTGAGATGGAGTCTCTCTCTGTCACCCAAGCTGGAGTGCAGTGGTGTGATCTTGGCTCACTGCAACCTCTGTCTCAGGGGTTCAAATGATCCTCCTGCCTCAGCCTCCCAAGTAGCTGGGGTTACAGGCATGCACCACCATGCCCAGCTAATTTTTATATTTTTTAGTAGAGACAGGGTTCCGTCATGTTGGTCTTGAACTCCCGACCACAAGAGATCCACCCACCTCGGCCTCCCAAAGTGCTGGGATTACAGGCATGAGCCACCACGCCCAGCCTAAACTGCTTATATCTTTTAATTTATTTTGAAACGAAAAGTTTCAAAGCACACAGTTTTTGCTTATTCTAATCTGTAGTTTTTAAGTTATCTATACACTATAACTGTTAAAACATGGAACTTAGTATGTACACAATAAGTAATACTGTTCTTATTATTCTGTAGCCATAGATTTATTATGATAAATTTATAAAAAATAAACCTATAATATAATAAATATATTTTTTGCCCTATTGATGTTTTGTTTATTTGCTTTATATTCTGTCTTAAAGATGAAATAATAGAAGACACTTTGCCTGTGGAATTTCAGTTTTCTCCATTTTCTTATTCCTCTATTTACAACCTTTCAATTTTTTTCCCCAAAGAACATAGCTTTTATTTTCATTATGTACTCTTTTGTCTTCCTCAACATTTTGTTGATTCTTTTCTTCCAAAGTTTTGAAATCATTACTGTTACTCCTAGGAAAAACATAAAAAGTCATTAGATACAGAATTTGTGTGATTTGTCTTTTTTATGCCTTAAATCATCAGAGGGAGAATACTCCAGCAGCCCAGGGCATTATGGTTTTATTTCTTGCTAGATTATTTAACTTCTTGTGTCTTTATCATTTTTTTAAGTTACTACAACACTTACTGTTTTTTTATCCATTCATAAAATAAAAGCAACTGAACATCTTATCTCTCTCTCTCTCTCTCTCTCTCTCTCTCTCTCTCTCTCTATATATATATATATATATATATACACATACACACAGTTATATGATACATAAGTTTATATATGCTACATAGTGAAAATGAGGAATGAACATTTATAGGCAGAAATAGAATAAAAGAGGAAAGAATGGAAGTCAAAAAGAGATGTGCTAAAGGTCACCAAAGTAATATGGAGAATTCATTCAGATCAAAGAAAGTTGGGAGTTATTTGACAGTGTTTAATATGAAGCAGCTGCATTGGAGAGTCTTCTGTAATAATTTATTCTTCTTTTGACTTGCAGAGTACTGAGCTGTCTCCGAAGAATTCAGATTATTGAATGTAGGCACCCTTTTCTGATTTCCTTCATCAATTCAATTCAGGAGATGTGATGCAATGTGATGTGTCAATGTATGTATGATCGAAGTGTCAGTCTCTATAAGTACTCCGCTCCATGATCCTGGGGTGAAGTGCTACAAAACACATTTTTGGTGGAGCAGAAATAGTGCTGCCTTTCCTGTGCTTCCCACGGCTGTTGTAGATAGAAAGCAATGAATTCAGAATTCTCAAGTCGGCCAGGCCATCTTCTCAGTGAGCTTTGCCTCAGGCACCCTAGATATTACCACATGAGAGCTATATTTCATCTGTTCTTAAATTTTTGCAGCTAAAGGACCACATTTGAGGGTCGAAATCCCTGCCACAAAACCAACCTTACCACCTTCTACTACTCATAAGAAAAATCCATCAGAATTTACTGGAATTTATTGCAAGAATGACCTTCCATTTCATGAGTTGACAATGATGTGAAGCCTGGTTTTATCAACTATCCAAGTAAAGTAGTAACTTCAAGTCTTTAATAGTACACAAGAATCATTTACAGGTCAAGTATGGAACCTCTAATTATGAAAAACTGATTCTCAGAGCATATTTTACCAGATATTGTGAGAAACAGAGAAAAAGCAGTTAACAATGAAAGTAATTACTGGCCTTCAAATTCATTATTAACAGCAAGTCAAATTGAAAAGGTACTGGTTCTGTTCTCTGTCATTGACGTGAGAGAATATGGTAGAAGTAAGCGGAGAAAGAGACTTGGAGGCCATCTGCTCAGGCCCTTTCACTTTTCTTCAGAAGCAAAGTTGTTAATTGCTCAAGGCCTTCAAGATCCCCACATTCCGTCTCTTTCCGTAGAACATACATGTGCCAGTATCCAGATTTCTTCACATATTCTTCTTTCCATGTCTCCCATTTCAAAGAAGTGTTCCTTCTCAGGTGTAAAGAGTGAGGCTAATTGCCCTGTCTTTTCCCGCTAACTCAGCTCTTCCTGAAACAAGTACCTTTCCTCATTTCTGTAATTTTTCTTCTGCTTGCCATAAAAGGAAATCAAGTTGCATACCATTCAAATCTCCCATCAGCTTTGTGATCTTTGGAAATGTTTTTTTCACATTTTCTAATAGAAAATTTCATATACAGTATGTACGAAATGGAGTGAAATGATAAGGTCCCATTTATACGACACTCAACTTCAATAGTTTCTAACTCATAGTAATCTTGTTTCATCTATACTTGCACTCGCTGCCATTCTGTCAGATAATTTTAAAACAAATATCAGATATTATATCATTCTCTAGTATTTATCACTAACATTTAAGAGCTATTTTATTAAACATAAGAGTAATGTCAGGGTCTGGGGTGTTGGCTCACGTCTGTAATCTCAGCATTTTGGGAAGTCGAGGCAGGCAGATCACTTGAGGTTAGGAGTTCGAGACCAGCCTGGCTAATACAGTGAAACCCTGTCTCTACTAAGAATCCAAAAATTAGCCAGGCATGGTGGCGTATGCCTGTGGTCCCAGCTACTTGGAGGCTGACATGGGAGGATGGTTTAAGCCCAGGAGGTGGAGGTTGCAGTGAGCTGAGATCGCACCACTGCACTCCAGCATGAGTGACAGAACTAGACTCTGTCTAAAATTTTTTTAAAAAGTAATGTCGTTATCACATGTAAAAATTAACAATGATGCTTTAATACCATCAAATAGCTAGTCAGTGTTTATATCTTCTCAATTGTCTCAGATAATTTGTTAAAAGTGTTGAATCAAGATTCAAATAAGACCATAGTTTGCCATCAGTTGATGTATCTCTTAAGTCTCCTCTCTCCTTCTGCAATATTTGTTGAAAAATCTGTGTCGAGACGGGCGGATCACGAGGTCAGGAGATCGAGACCATCCTGGCTAATACGGTGAAACCCCGTCTCTACTAAAAATACAAAAAAATTAGCCGGGCGTGGTGGTGGGCGCCTGTAGTCCCAGCTACTCGGGAGGCTGAGGCAGGAGAGTGGCGTGAACACGGGTGGCGGAGCTTGCAATGAGCCGAGATGGCGCCACTGCACTCCAGCCTGGGCAACGGAGCGAGACTCCATCTCAAAAAAAAAAAAGAAAAAGAAAAAGAAAAAGAAAAATCTGTGTCATTTGTTGTGTGGGTTCCCTACCGTCTGGATTTTGCTGGTTGATTTCTGTGAACTCTGTACTTCCTGCACTTTTATAGTTGAATCTGGAGGCTGGATTATATTTGCTGTTTTTAGCAAGAACTATTTTTGGACAAGGTCTCATATTTCAGTTAGTAGGTGAATAATGTCTGGTTGTCTCTCTTGTGATGTTGGAGTCAGTTGCCCAGATCCAGTGGCAACAACTGTGGGTAGAGCCAGTGGGAGTGGCCTGTTCTGGGTGCAGGCAATAAGGGGTGCTTTGCCCACAGTAATCTGAATCCTAAAGAGAATTTTAAAACAATATTGAAACTAACTAAAAGCTGGTATATTTTTATTATTACTAAGGTTGCTAATTCTAAATAATGTCTCTGAAAAAGAAAATCTTCTGTTGGACTAAGTTCTAAATAATTGCTGTGGTTACTGCTGAGTTTTAATAATATGTATCTTGGCTTCAATTTCACACATTTTTATTATGTATTCTTTAATAAACCTGCTATTCTACATAGAAGTAAATTCAGAGAAGTCCAGTTACACAGTTGGCTTCACACACGAGAATTGGGCTAAATGTTTTAATTTTGAGACTAAGTTCGCAAAACTTTGGATTCATTAGAGCTTGTGCTGGGTGTAGTCTGTGTCTCCAATCCCTCTGGTGCTACATCGTCCTGTGCTTAATTCTAAATCAATAATCATATCAGTGTCACTGTAAAGAGGAATACACAGAACACAAGTTACTTTAATTCCATCAATTCTGTCATTTTGTTAAACCGCTTGAAGTTATTTGTTCTTAAATGTTAAAAGACTGAAACAAAATATGAATCGCAAGGTGTAATAGCTTTGTTTGGTAAATGCAAATTTTAGTTCATATGTAAAGTCTTATTGTATTTAATTTACATGTTTAAAATGGAAATTTATTCTTATATTAATTGGAATACTAAAAATATGTATGAAGAGGAAGGCAGGATAAATGCTTGAGTCTTTCTCTTTATTTAATAGTTTTCAAAATAATTGGTTGGTTCCATATCATCATCCTCCAGAGATATCCAACTAGTTCTTTTTGTATTGTTAAGAACACATTTGTTTAAATATATCTGATGCCTTTGGCAACACCTTAAGCCAATTGCAGTCAGATTTAGTTATTATCCTATCAATGCCTCAAAAGTCTCTTTGGCTAATATAGGAGTCTGTTCAAGTTAGCTCCTGAGTTTTCTTGACACGCCCTTAAAAGTCTTTGGTAGCTTTCTTTGTAATGTACAAAATATTTCAGGCTCATTTTGCACATTTCTTGCTCTAGGCTTGGTATCAGTCATTTCTCAGAAGAAAACTGGTTTCTTTTAGTGCAAAATAGTGTTGGGCACTAATGGTGCTTGTTGCTACCTAATAGTTTCTAGGCATTTTCAGTAGATTGTGCTAGGTAAACAATTCTAAGGTAAAATGCATAATAAGTTTATACTGATCTTTCCTAATCAAATTCAGGATTCTGAATTTTTACCTGCCCTCATTCAATATTATATCTCCAAGTCACAGTGAAAATTCCAGTTCTCAATAATGCCAACATACTTAATTGACGTATTACATAATCCATGCATAACAGTCTCAGAATAGCAATACCAATACTACCGCTCACACTATGCTTAGCAAAAACAGATTTTTTTCGTGGTTATATTTGCCCACAGGATCTCTCGCACTAGGGATGTGTAGTCATATACTATGTCTTAAAGTCACTTGAAAAAATCCCCCTTTTTCTATTGGTGTCAATTTGACACATATTTAAATTAACTTATTTTATTTGGCTTTGGATATTACAAATTACTTTTTAACATTTAATTTTGGTTTATGATTATGTGAACTATTTACCTATTTACGTGGTTCCAAAGTAAATTCTACAGAGCAAGGTATATTCAGAGAGGTCTAGCTTCTACCCCTGTATCTTTCTATGCCTGTTTCCACTACCTTTCACCTTTAGATGTCCTTTTAAAAAAATTCTGGTTTGTCTTTTCATTTTCAATGTAAGAAAATATTGGTTCATGCTTTCATTTCAACACATAAAAATATAAACAATAGCATATGAAACACAGTTTTCTGTCCCTTGGACATGTTTCTTAAAGTCTCTCATTGTATCAGGTCATTGATACCTACTTTGAGACCTTCAGTCTGTACTAAATGAAACTGTGTATGACATGCTTGCTACCGTAGGCACACATGGGATTGTTCATTTTTATTTCTCTCTGAAATCGATCAATCCAGATACTCCCTACATCTAAAAGACCTCCTGCGCTCAAACAGCTCTGCTTCACACTTCCAAACTTTGTGAAAGTTTGCCAACTGAATTTTCAGCCTCAGTCTTTCTCACTGATGCTGCATCTTACAATTGGTGAGAAACAATCACATTTTCCTAAAACCTTAGTTAAGAACATAAAAAGATATTAAATTCATCTTAGAGTGTTGTTCTAGTGTATTTGGGTTTGCCTGAACATTTTTATGCACAAAATGGGGTAAAACATATTTGAACGTCAGATCCCATTTTTAACGTAAGGTATTCATAGGAACAGAGATCCCAACTTGAGCTTCCGAAACTTCTTAAGACTTTGGACTATTGAAACATCTGAAGACTTCAAACTTTTAAGTGAAAACTTGAAATGGGAGATTTGAGGCATTCTCATTATTGGTGGATCATAGAACTACCAAATGGATATAAGGATATATTCACTTATGTAGTTTGTTCCACACATTTTCCAAAATCATGAGGTGGGTGAAAGTATAGATAATTTTAAAAAAATGTCCTGCTGGGCATGTCTAGGAACTACTGTCTCTTAATAAGTCTCTCCTCCTCTTTGGCAGAGATAACAACAATTTGCTCTTCTCAACTCCTTTTGCCAGCACAGGGGAACAAATGACATGATATTTACTCTGCATCTGATAGCCTATCACTTTACAAAACAATGTTTGAGCCTGGGTGCAGTGGCTCACACCTGTAATCCCAGCACTCTGGGAGGCTGAGGTGAGTGGATCACCTGAGGTCAGGAGTTTGAGATCAGCCTGGCCAACATGGCAAAACCCCATCTCTACTAAAAATACAAAAATTAGCCAGGCATGGTGGTGCACGCCTGTAGTCTCAGCTACTAGGGAGGCTGAGGCACGAGAATTGGTTGAACCCGGGAGGCAGAGGTTGCAGAGAGCCCAGATGGCACCACTGCACTCCAGCCTGGGTGACACAGCAAGACTCTGTCTCAACAAACAAACAAACAAACAAAAAACAATGTTTGAGTACAACTCTAGGCCAAAGACCACCTATTCTTGGTAATGACAACTGTCTAATAATTGTTCAGCTGGTACCAACAATGCTGAGAGGGCATGGTGTGATGACATGCACTTCATGCCCAAGTAACTAAATTTGTCAACATATTCGATGCTTACAGGACACAGGACTGGGCTGTGGCCCTTGGCGAGCCTCCCAAGCTATTCAGTGATGTTAGACAACCCACTTACCTTCTCTGAAATTTACTTTTCTTATATGTAAAATGCAGCTATTGTACAGGTAAGTCAGATTTCTTCCAGCCCTAAAATTCTGCGACTCTTGGTCTAGCATGAGCCTAACTAACATCAGTGGATGATTATATAAGTGTAAACTGTGTGTAAACTGTAATAGAATCCTCTTTTTTCTCACAAGATCACTTTGATTTCAGATTTATAAGTATTTTTCTATTTGGAAAGGGACTTTAGAGGTGGGGTGTACAGATACTCATATTTTTTAGCCTAATGTGTTGGAGAGAAGGAACTATTAAACAAACTATTAAGAAGGAGGTAAAAGTGAGTCGAACAAATTAGATTTTTTAGATTGAATTATGAATTTGAAAACTCTGGTGCTCTTAAATATTCAGATCCATGAAGTTACTCTTTTACATGGGGACAATGAAATTTTCTGAAATTACATGGAAAATATTGTACAGAAAGGCAAAAACCGGAAGCATTTATTGAGCAGTTACGTGCTGCATACTTTCAAATGAATTCACTCATTTAAACCTTACAGAAACTCTGTGTTAAGTATTACCATTCTTGTTTCTAATGTCAAACTCAGTTATGTTAGTTACTTCTCCCAATATCACACAGCTTCTAAGGAATTAGGCAGTGACTGGACTTCAAAGGGTTGTTAGAAGTTAATATGTTAAAGGAGCTTAGAAGAGTATTCAGTACCTACTGTGCACTGTGACTTGACCTATTCTCTTCCTCCTCTTCCTCCTCCTCCCTCTCCTCCCCTTCCTGTTTCTCTTCTTCTTCCTCTTCCTCTTCTTCTTGTTCTTCTTCTTCTTCTTCCCCAGAAGTTCATTAAATTTACTTGGTGAGAGCACAGTGATCTCGGGTTTGGGGGCTGGGTTGCCTGCATTTAAATACACACACTGCTGTCTAGGTGAAGGGCAGAGTGCAAACTGCTTTAACTATGCAATCTGTAAAAAACTTGAACAACACGTGGCATACGCTGCATATACAGTAAATATAAACTCTTACTATTAACATAGTTCTTTTACGTATTGGTTTTACGGAAATAATTCTTTAAAAGCTACCATTCATGGTGCTATTATAAATAGGCTAGATAGTACAATAGATGCTAGTTAGGGTAGAAGATATTGATAACACTCATTTTATTGGTCGTATTATTTGGTATAACAGAGTACAAAATGATTTCTCCTGTTGTCTTCATCCTTAGAGACTTGAAGTCAGTTTAAGTCAGTCTTAAGTCACTGATTTTTAAAAGTAATTCTTCTGACATCTAGTCTCGATGATGATTTTTAAAAGGTCAATTCTAAATATGTTCTATTTTTTTCTCAGCAAGTGCTTATTTTTCTACTTTGAAGTCAGGAGATAATATATAGTTGAAATGTGATACCCTTAATCTCTTAATTTTTAGACATCTACCTGCCCATTTATTCTATTGTTGCCTCACCAAGCACTCAGAATTGCTTTACACAGCAGGAACAAAATCAACCTTGGAATCACACATCTAGTATTGAAGTGACATTCTGCCACTTGTTACCTGTGTGATCTTGGAAAATTTGCTTAATTCTGCTGAGCCTCAACATTCTCTAGTGAAAAATTAGATGGACAATGCCTTCCTTCAGTTTGGCTGACTAATCCACAAATGTAGGCAGGGCAATAAGTCTGTTTTCTTCCCAGAATATGGTGCAAGCATGGCCACGCACAAAGTGTGTCTGGATTGGTGTTTAGCTGCATGTGTCTTGGCCCATGCTTTTGTCCTGTCTAAAGTAAGAATATCTTAGACTATAGAGCTGGAAATGGCCTTAGACCTCATCCTGTCCAAGTTTCTTATTTAACAGATGAGAAAATTTTGGTCCAGACAGGGTAAAAGAGACATGCCTCAAAATCGAATCAGTTAAACTATAATGCGTCATATTGTTTGTGCCTTTATTTTTCACTTTATCCTTTCCTTCCTATTTCACAATAAAAATGAGTACCCTCACTTATCTATCTTTAGAAAATTACCTTTCTCTGACATTCAATATTCAAGAAAGGTATATATTTTTTGTAATCCACTTTTTTCTTCTTACAGCGTATCTTGGGATATTGAAAATACCCCATTTTTGCAAATAAATCTATAAATTTAAAGAAGTGTCAATCTAAATCTCCAGAATATACTTTATGGAACTTTGTAAGTCAATCATAAAGATGAGGTGAGGGAAAGAAACCATAGTAATGGCCAAGAAAAATTTTAAAGGAGGAGTGAAGGAGAACTTTTTCTACAGACATCAAAATGTAATATAAAACTATAGTAAATCAAATTATGTGGTTTTTGGCACTGGCATAGACTAATAGATCAATAGAATAGACTAGATTCCAGGAAAAAAACTACAACTGTAATAAAAATAGCATTTTAAGTCAGTGGGAAGTCATTTAATAAATGATATTGGGATAATTGGATATACACATGGATAAGAAAGAATGAAACTAAAATTGGTCTTATGCATATGTAATGAATATTGCAATCTCATGTGCTTTTAAAATACCCTGTGGGGTATGCGTGTGTGTATGTGTGTGTGTGTGTGTGTGTGTGTGTGTATAAAATGTCAGGGAAAGAAATCATTAGAGTGAAGGAAAGAGGCTAAGATAATTTTTAATTTTTTGACTCTTTGTAAGTCTGTGTTTTTAATATTTTTAATTTTCCTATCACTTTTGTGATTATAAAATAAAGATTTCAAGTACAAAAATCACTTCATTACATTGTACATTTTCTAAAAAATTTCAGCAAGCTGTGTATGTGTGTGTATTTGTTGTAAACCAAATCGTAATTTGAATTAAAGTGGGGGAACTACACTTTATTGGAATTAGAGGGCTTCCTTTCAAAAACGTGAGCATTCCCTAGTCTCCCCAGTTCTTAGGTTTAGAATTTGGTGCATCTGGTTTTCTTTAATTTTGCTTATTTCTACTAACCCTTGAAATCTGGGTACCATGATGGAGATTAACCATGTCATGCTGACTTCTGAAAGATCAGGTTTATCCTAGACCCCATTACCTTCCTCTGCTTAAGCTTTTGTTGAGGAAATTTTTCCGCAGCTGAAATGAGGTTTGAAGGCTTGAAGAACAGTGATTTCCATGTGACCTAGTGTAGCTTGGAAGAATGAAGTTCTGATTTGGAAATAGAATCATTTCCTATTGTGGTAGGTTAGTAAACTTGGAATAACAAGTATATGTTAAATAAATATAATTAAACAATAGTAAACATTAAATTTAAAGACTATTTTTAATGCTCCATTTGTATGAACTCACTTAATCCTTACAATAGCTGTGAGGCTGTTTCACTCATGAGGAAACTACAGCACAGAGAGGTTGGTAACTTGCCTGAATTCACAGAGTTAATAAGGATTGGTACCAGGATTGATGTTCAGGTCATCTTGTTCCTAAGTCTATTCCCTAATCACAGCCAATGATGCAATGAATATTCTTGTGTATGTTTTCTTACATTCACATGTAGAAGGTTTTTCCAAGTGTGGCATTCTTGGCTGTAGGTTATACCCATCTTCAGCTTTACTAGCTATTGACAATTTCTTCTCTTTCTCCATATCCTAGCACTTTTAAGTAACTTTTAATATTGGTCAGTCTGATGAGTGTGAAGAGTTAGATCATTGTGTTTTAAATATTCATTTCATTTATAACAAGAGAGTTTGAAATGTTTGCACTGGGTTTTGTCCATAGATTTGTAAGATTTTTTTTATTCTGAATACTAAATCGTATTTTCTATATAAACATCCTTGGGCACTTTGTTCTGTTTCTCTGCTCTGTTTCCCTAGCCCTGCACTAATATACATTGTCATAGTTACATGAGTTTTTCCTCTTTTACCTCCCCTTCCTCCTGGTCCTTCTAAAACATTGTGTATCTGATAGGATGAATCCCTTACCCTTTTTGCCTTCAAAATAGAATTGATCATTTGTAGCCTTTTAGCTCTTTCGTATAAACATTAAGATAAGGTTGTCAAGTTCTAGGAAAAAATTCTGTTGCATTGAATATATGGATTAACTTAGGAAGTTAGTTATGCTGATTCTATCCAGCCTGCTCTTTCTGAAAATGGTGTAGTAAAATCAGTTGCTGAAGCTTTAATGGTTAATGAATCTTACTGGCTTTCCTGTGACTGGTTGCGAAAAGGGATTAACAGTTTCTAAAGTAACTACTTATGAGCATGACCTCTATCATATGTCAAGTGCTATGGCTAAAGTCTTACAAAATTTATTGTTGTTTGTGTTGTTTTAATAAATATTGAGGTATTTCTAGATTGTGTTTTGTATTAATGTGATTGTTGCTGTTTCACTGAAGTAATATAGATGTTAGAGATACATGGAGTCACATTTGTACACTGATAACCACCATTTTTTACCCAAGACTGAGTATTTGGGATTCTTTAATGCCTTATTTGGCTCTAATTCATAAAGCTTAGGGTGATTGCGAGTCCAGGCCCTGCTGAGCTGGGGCCAAGTGTTGAAATGAATGTTCCAAGCACTTGATGGTGTTGAATGATTCTAACTTAGAGATTGGAATGGAATTTTAGTGTATCTATTTTAAATTTCTTCAGGTTTAATATACAATCTAAAATTATGACAATTCAATCAGATATAGTCTCAGATAAACAAGTTTAAAAAACCAGACAAAAATCTCTGGAGGAGTTTATATAACTTGGCTCTGCTGCCTTCAAAATCCTTGTAAATAAGAAACCAAAATTCTGGGGTTGATACTTTTTCTTTAGAGTTATGAACATCCCATTTTTGGAGAAACAAAGGTTACCATAGATATTTCAATTGTTAGTATTATACATATCACCACTTTTTCTTTAGTTAATCTTGGGCCACGCTTTCTGAAACAGCCTCTCCCACATGCCAAGTATTGTATTTGACCTTTTCATGTCAATTATCTACTTTGTTCTTCACAGCAATCTTATAGACTGCATATTGATTCCAAATTTATAGATGGAAAAATATGGTTGAGAGGAGTTTCCTAAAGTATAATAGCTAGAAACAACAAAGTTGGGTTTCAAACATGGTTCTATCAAATTCAGGTCTGTATTATTTTCTGTCATCCCATTCATTCTCCCAGTGCCTGGGAACTGGATAAGAAAAAATAAAAATGACAAATCTATACTTTATTTTTGAATAGGTGCTAACTCCTAAAATTCAGAAGAGCTCTTTCTTAAGTGTACCAGTGATAGCCCAACTCAATATTGACTATTCTGCTGATTTTGTTAATTTGCTCAGAAGCCTAAATTACCTGCTAATAAAAGAAATAATATTGCACAACTGGACATTCCTAATGTTAGTTACATCTGGAGGTGATCTCATTAAACATTACAGATTTGGCTGTGTGTCTTGGGGGCTTTCTGAAATCCTAACTTTTTGCATCCTTGCCCTACAGGCACAGTTCATAAGCTCTAAATACATAGCCAGATTAGCCATAGCCATGACAAACAGGAACCTTTCCATTTAGGTTTTTCTCTATATTTTATTTGAACTTTGGAAACAGAAGCAAGTAGATTTGAAAATAAGATGTTTTAGGGGTAGAATTGTCCTAGTTTCTGTATTAAATGTTAAAATAACTAAAGACTGTAGACCCAAGAGATTTAAAGATGTTGTTTAATTTTCTAGTAGTAGAAGAAATGATTAACAGACCAACACTCTTTCAAAAGTTGATATAACACTTACATGAAAGAACCAGAGAAAATATTGGAAAGGATGGTGCCAGTTCAAGGGGCTTCAAGAACAAACTATCTCTCCATGTAGAAACTTTTCAGTGGTTGACTGTAAGGAAGGACACCAAAGAAACAGAAGAAGACAAATCCATGCTGACACGTTCTGCTGCTCCTGCATCCAGCTACAGGGGCTAAGGGCTTAGGGTGACTTTAATGCAAATTATGGTCCAATTTTGCAATTCCATTTTCACTTGAAAAATATAAACTGAGAAAGTGTCAAGATTCTTGTCCTAAGAAGTCTTCTTTAGAGTGAAAAAGGAACCGTACTGGGTATTGGTGGTACTAGTGCTAATCCAGACCATCTCTGGCTCACTATGTGACATAGGCAAGCCTATGGCTTGGTTCTTCTGTGGTCCCTGAGTTAAGGACTACTAGTGAAACTGCCTTACAGTTCAAAAAATGTCTCTATACGGGATCTCTAAGGTTTTTTTTTCCAACTCCAAACCTTTGTGAATCTCAGCCTGACTGGGTGCTAGGATAGGATTAACAAGAAATTAATAACCCTAGCTAGTAGTTTCAAATTGTAAAATCATAAAACATCTCTATGAAATGAACCTTATGCAATAGTACATATCTCACAAAACACTAGAAAGTATAATTGGCTCTCTTTATCCAGAAACAAAGGGCAGACTTAAATAGACTAGAAAGATTTAGACTCATATACCAAATACTAGCTAAGTTCAACTTCTTCTTCTTTCACATAAATACTGTATGACCTTAGAGGAACCATTTAGTGTTTCTTTATTTGTTTCCTGTCTGTAAGTTGAAGGGACTATGTTATGTGATTTAAATTCTTCAACATCTAAAAGCTGAAACAGTTCTCAATTATTTCATATGAAATGCATATCGATTTTGGGAAGCATGTTATGGGTAGCTGATAAGATAGGGGAAAGATCAAACTATATTGGAGGAAACCAAGAAATGCCCAATATTATAATTAAAGCAAGTCACCACATAACTTCTCATATACTTGAGTATAACTCTTCAAGCCCTCCTCAGCCTGCAAACATAGATCTTAAATTCTTAAGATTATAATAGATATCTATAAAATCAATTTGTTCAAGAGCTTTTCAATTTTATTGTTTAATTTGCTGGGACATTTTGGATAGCTATAGTTCACATGGAAGTTATTTAAAATCATAGGGTAGGGCCTTTTCAGGTTGACATAATTTATCTGTAGCTCTGCTTAGAAGCTGGGATATGGATGATATGACTTCTATAGGCCCCTGCATGTCCCAGGAATATATGGGTAATTGGTCTTAGCAGTGCTTGAACAGCACATGGTTTCAGTATAGAGTAGGCAGAATTTGACCCCAGAAAAACAGACAAAATTTTTATTTTTTTAAAATAAGAGCACTTGAAGAAAGCCTGAAATAAATCCAGAGTTACTATAAACAAAGTGGAGGGAGTCTTACTCATCACAGAGAAAAGTCAGGCTCATTAAAGAAGGTAATTATTACCTCTGACATACAGAACTGTGTGCTGCTTTAAATTAAGGTTCTTAACGAGGCATTTCATTGTATGTCCTTAACTGAAGGATTTAAGGAGGCCGACTGTCTTCCACAGTCAGTGGGAATGGGTGTTCTATGTTCATGAGCTTTACTGGTAAAGAATATTTCAGGAAAGAATAGTTCAGGAATTTAAATACACCAATGTTCACACAATTTCTGAACAGATTGCTGGTGTGCTGAAAGCCCACCCAAGCTATGTGCTTATAAGTGGAAAATTTAAACTTTGCCACATGCTAATGATATGCTAATGAATTTTCACGTTAGACAGATGACAAGAGCATGGTCTCTGTCCTTTTTCTGTTAATGTAATGAATGAGCTTGGACAAGCAGTTTTAAGAGGAAGTTGTAAACAGGTTGTAAATGTTTACATGTTTCCCTCATTTTTATTAGTTTGTTTATTTCACCTCTCTTGCTCAACAAATTTCTTTTTGTTCTTTCTGTATTGTATTGTTTATAGAATTTAAACATGCCCTCATGCTCTTGCAAGATGAGAATTTGTCTTGATCAGCAAGAAGAAACTTTATCTATCTCAAAGCCTCCCTTTATCAAAAAGTCTATATTGAGTACCAATATCAACTTCTCATGATGCTCATATACATAAATGTGTTATGTTTCGAGGAAAATAAATTGCTTTTCAGTGAATACATTTCTTTAAAAAGGCATATTTTACGGCTCTGCTTTTCCAAATTTAAAAATATCTCACCAAACCACAGTGCTATTATAAGAAATGAAACGGGGGTATTGCTCAAATCTAAAGTTTGCATTCTAACTCTTTTTCCAAGCATATAGCTAAATTCTGGAAAGCCTATAGCCCATTAACATGATTTCCCCAAGGATTTTTACCTGTTCCATCTAAGAGTAAGTGATAGTAGAGCAATTTTGTAACCTCATTTTCTCTATCTATCAGAAGAGCAGCAATGTCTACCAAGCACCCAAGAGACATGCTGGTCCAAGATAGAATCTATGATCTGTACCTACTATAGAGAAAAAAGTCTAAATCTTTCTAAACTTTCTTATACGAGAGCATTTGAGTGTGACCCATAATATTACCACCTGATTAAAATCCATTTCCAGTTAAATTACAAAGTCCTAGTGTTAATCACACACATCTCACCATGGGACTTTCAAGGTGGGTTCATATCCTTGGTAAGTGCTCAAATGTTCTCTAAGGTCAAATATCCTGTGACAGGAACCATTATGTCAGTGTTTGACACTGACCTAGCTTTAGTCAGTTCCATCATGATATCATGCTTAAAATATATGTTTAGTCTGTTTTTAAAATAAATACATCATTTTCTGATTCTGTTACATGCTATCGTTCCGATCTTGACAGTTGGTACAGTCTTTATTCTTCCCTGCTTTTCTCTGCCTTGTTTACAGATCATAGAGGTGATGTCCTACTTTGGGCCATTTTAATTAATCCAGTTTCTCCTTATATATTCCACATGATTTAAAATAAAAATTCAAGATACAAAATTTCTATTAAATTTTATATCTATAAAATTTCTATTAAATATTAAAATTCTCAGGGAATTTGGAGCTAAATATTTATGATGAAATATCCAGAATCTTTTGTGAATATAAAGGAAATAAATCCTTTGTACATTATGTGTAATATACATGTTTTACTATATTGCACATTTTATATATATATTCAATATAAATATATTTTATATTTATTACTATAGTGCACATTATACTTTTTTACTATAGAGTGCATTATATATATAACATAATTTTTTACTATATATTACTTACATATTTTATATATATATAATGTGCACTATAGTAAAATATGTATACTGCATGTAACGTACTAAGTAAATAAAGAGTTTTATCAAAAAGTTTAATTCTACCAATATGTCATCCATTTATTTAAAGTGATTCATTACATTAGTCAATGGCCAGATCTTCATGTCTCAATTCTGTGTAGGTACTTTAGAGACCACAAAGCCCAGAGAAAACATGCCTCAGATATGTTTCTTTAATAATATTCCATTTAAAGCCAGGCACGGTAACTCATACTTGTAATCCTAGCACTTTGGGGGGCTGAGGCAGGAGGACCCCTTGAGCCCAGGAGTTCAAGACCAGCCTGGGCAAAACAGTGAGGTCTGATCTCTTCAAAATATGTATATTCCATTTAAATACATATTCATAATTATTTCATTAAATTGCAATATTAAATCCCTGAAAGATATTACAGGTGCTCTCATTTTCCCCATAGCTATTTATACCTAAATCATGTACCTTAAATCATTTATAGGTCACTTTTCTCATCTGTGAGTTGAAAGGGTTATAGGACACATGTTCTTGTCATATTTGGGGATTACTGAGAGAATTCCCTGGACAATGTCTATTGATAGTCGTGGTTATCATGTAAAAGCTAATAGTTCATGAGGCTCTAGACTTTTTCTAATCCTGATTTTATAGATGAGAATATAGAAGTTCTAAAAAGTTTAAGCTCAACTCAAAGTGAATATCCAATTTATCAATAATTTAAATAAAAGAAGAAAAGCTTATGATTTGAATTTCATGATCCTTCACCTTCTGATTTTTTTGCAATAAAATATCTCTAGAATTATGAACAAATATAAATAATTTGAGACAATCTAGTATGTTCTTTTAAAGTAGAAATTCCTACAGTTATCAAACATACTAGTGAAAGCTCATTGCCACAGTTTTTGATGTTTGCACTTGGACTTAGAGGCAAACATACCCCTATAAACTTCAAGACTCTACAAGTCCTTCGTGTGAACTATTTCTTTTTTTTTTTTTTTTTTTTTATTTATTTTTTTATTATACTTTAAGTTTTAGGGTACATGTGCACATTGTGCAGGTTAGTTACATATGTATACATGTGCCATGCTGGTACGCTGCACCCACTAACTTGTCATCTAGCATTAGGTATATCTCCCAGTGCTATCCCTCCCCCCTCCCCCCACCCCACAACAGTCCCCAGAGTGTGATATTCCCCTTCCTGTGTCCATGTGATCTCATTGTTCAATTCCCACCTATGAGCGAGAATATGCGGTGTTTGGTTTTTTGTTCTTGCGATAGTTTACTGAGAATGATGATTTCCAATTTCATCCATGTCCCTACAAAGGACATGAACTCATCATTTTTTATGGCTGCATAGTATTCCATGGTGTATATGTGCCACATTTTCTTAATCCAGTCTATCATTGTTGGACATTTGGGTTGGTTCCAAGTCTTTGCTATTGTGAATAATGCCGCAATAAACATACATGTGCATGTGTCTTTATAGCAGCATGATTTATAGTCCTTTGGGTATATACCCAGTAATGGGATGGCTGGGTCAAATGGTATTTCTAGTTCTAGATCCCTGAGGAGTCACCACACTGACTTCCACAACGGTTGAACTAGTTTACAGTCCCACCAACAGTGTAAAAGTGTTCCTATTTCTCCACATCCTCTCCAGCACCTGTTGTTCCCTGACTTTTTAATGATTGCCATTCTAACTGGTGTGAGATGGTATCTCATTGTGGTTTTGATTTGCATTTCTCTGATGGCCAGTGATGATGAGCATTTTTTCATGTGTTTTTTGGCTGCATAAATGTCTTCTTTTGAGAAGTGTCTGTTCATGTCCTTCGCCCACTTTTTGATGGGGTTGTTTGTTTTTTTCTTGTAAATTTGTTTGAGTTCATTGTAGATTCTGGATATTAGCCCTTTGTCAGATGAGTAGGTTGCGAAAATTTTCTCCCATTTTGTAGGTTGCCTGTTCACACTGATGGTAGTTTCTTTTGCTGTGCAGAAGCTCTTTAGTTTACTTAGATCCCATTTGTCAATTTTGTCTTTTGTTGCCATTGCTTTTGGTGTTTTGGACATGAAGTCCTTGCCCATGCCTATATCCCGAATGGTAATGCCTAGGTTTTCTTCTAGGGTTTTATGGTTTTAGGTCTAACGTTTAAGTCTTTAATCCATCTTGAATTGATTTTTGTATAAGGTGTAAGAAAGGGATCCAGTTTCAGCTTTCTACATATGGCTAGCCAGTTTTCCCAGCACCATTTATTAAATAGGGAATCCTTTCCCCATTGCTTGTTTTTCTCAGGTTTGTCAAAGATCAGATAGTTGTAGATATGCGGCGTTATTTCTGAGGGCTCTGTTCTGTTCCATTGATCTATATCTCTGTTTTGGTACCAGTACCATGCTGTTTTGGTTACTGTAGCCTTGTAGTATAGTTTGAAGTCAGGTAGTGTGATGCCTCCAGCTTCGTTCTTTTGGCTTAGGATTGCCTTGGCGATGCGGGCTCTTTTTTTGGTTCCATATGAACTTTAAAGTAGTTTTTTCCAATTCTGTGAAGAAAGTCATTGGTAGCTTTATGGGGATGGCATTGAATCTGTAAATTACCTTGGGCAGTATGGCCATTTTCATGATATTGATTCTTCCTACCCATGAGCATGGAATGTTCTTCCATTTGTTTGTATCCTCTTTTATTTCCTTGAGCAGTGGTTTGTAGTTCTCCTTGAAGAGGTCCTTCACATCCCTTGTAAGTTGGATTCCTAGGTATTTTATTCTCTTTGAAGCAATTGTGAATGGGAGTTCACTCATGATTTGGCTCTCTGTTTGTTGTTGGTGTATAAGAATGCTTGTGATTTTTGCACGTTGATTTTGTATCCTGAGACTTTGCTGAAGTTGCTTATCAGCTTAAGGAGATTTTGGGCTGAGACAATGGGGTTTTCTAGATATACAGTCATGTCGTCTGCGAACAGGGACAATTTGACTTCCTCTTTTCCTAATTGAATACCCTTTATTTCCTTCTCCTGCCTAATTGCCCTGGCCAGAACTTCCAACACTATGTTGAATAGGAGTGGTGAGAGAGGGCATCCCTGTCTTGTGCCAGTTTTCAAAGGGAATGCTTCCAGTTTTTGCCCATTTAGTATGATATTGGCTGTGGGTTTGTCATAGATAGCTCTTATTATTTTGAAATACGTCCCATCAATACCTAATTTATTGAGAGTTTTTAGCATGAAGGGTTGTTGAATTTTGTCAAAGGCCTTTTCTGCATCTATTGAGATAATCATGTGGTTTTTGTCTTTGGCTCTGTTTATATGCTGGATTACATTTATTGATTTGCGTATATTGAACCAGCCTTGCATCCCAGGGATGAAGCCCACTTGATCATGGTGGATAAGCTTTTTGATGTGCTGCTGGATTCATTTTGCCAGTATTTTATTGAGGATTTTTGCATCAATGTTCATCAAGGATATTGGTCTAAAATTCTCTTTTTTGGTTGTGTCTCTGCCCGGCTTTGGTATTAGAATGATGCTAGCCTCATAAAATGAGTTAGGGAGGATTCCCTCTTTTTCTATTGATTGGAATAGTTTCAGAAGGAATGGTACCAGTTCCTCCTTGTACCTCTGGTAGAATTCGGCTGTGAATCCATCTGGTCCTGGACTCTTTTTGGTTGGTAAACTATTGATTATTGCCACAATTTCAGCTCCTGTTATTGGTCTATTCAGAGATTCAACTTCTTCCTGGTTTAGTCTTGGGAGAGTGTATGTGTCGAGGAATTTATCCATTTCTTCTAGATTTTCTAGTTTATTTGCATAGAGGTGTTTGTAGTATTCTCTGATGGTAGTTTGTATTTCTGTGGGATCGGTGGTGATATCCCCTTTATCATTTTTTATTGTGTCTATTTGATTCTTCTCTTTTTCTTTATTAGTCTTGCTAGCGGTCTATCAATTTTGTTGATCCTTTCAAAAAACCAGCTCCTGGATTCATTAATTTTTTGAAGGGTTTTTTGTGTCTCTATTTCCTTCAGTTCTGCTCTGATTTTAGTTATTTCTTGCCTTCTGCTAGCTTTTGAATGTGTTTGCTCTTGCTTTTCTAGTTCTTTTAATTGTGATGTTAGGGTGTCAATTTTGGATCTTTCCTGCTTTCTCTTGTGGGCATTTAGTGCTATAAATTTCCCTCTACACACTGCTTTGAATGCATCCCAGAGATTCTGGTATGTTGTGTCTTTGTTCTCGTTGGTTTCAAAGAACATCTTTATTTCTGCCTTCATTTCGTCATGTATCCAGTAGTCATTCAGGAGCAGGTTGTTCAGTTTCCATGTAGTTGAGCGGTTTTGAGTGAGATTCTTAATTCTGAGTTCCAGTTTGATTGCACTGTGGTCTGAGAGATAGTTTGTTATAATCTCTGTTCTTTTACATTTGCTGAGGAGAGCTTTACTTCCAAGTATGTGGTCAATTTTGGAATAGGTGTGGTGTGGTGCTGAAAAAAATGTATATTCTGTTGATTTGGCGTGGAGACTTCTGTAGATGTCTATTAGGTCCGCTTGGTGCAGAGCTGAGTTCAATTCCTGGGTATCCTTGTTGACTTTCTGTCTCGTTGATCTGTCTAATGTTGACAGTGGGGTGTTAAAGTCTCCCATTATTAATGTGTGGGAGTCTAAGTCTCTTTGTAGGTCACTCAGGACTTGCTTTATGAATCTGGGTGCTCCTGTATTGGGTGCATATATATTTAGGATAGTTAGCTCTTCTTGTTTAATTGATCCCTTTACCATTATGTAATGGCCTTCTTTGTCTCTTTTGATCTTTGTTGGTTTAAAGTCTGTTTTATCAGAGGCTAGGATTGCAACCCCTGCCTTTTTTTGTTTTCCATGGCTTGGTAGATCTTCCTCCATCCTTTTATTTTGAGCCTATGTGTGTCTCTGCACGTGAGATGGGTTTCCTGAATACAGCACACTGATGGGCCTTGACTCTTTATCCAATTTGCCAGTCTGTGTCTTTTAATTGGAGCATTTAGTCCATTTACATTTAAAGTTAATATTGTTATGTGTGAATTTGATCCTGTCATTATGATGTTAGCTCGTTATTTTGCTCGTTAGTTGATGCAGTTTCTTCCTAGTCTCGATGGTCTTTACATTTTGGCATGATTTTGCAGCAGCTGGTACCGGTTGTTCCTTTCCATGTTTAGCGCTTCCTTCAGGAGCTCTTTTAGGGCAGGCCTGGTGGTGACAAAATCGCTCAGCATTTGCTTGTCTGTAAAGTATTTTATTTCTCCTTCACTTATGAAGCTTAGTTTGGCTGGATATGAAATTCTGGGTTGAAAATTCTTTTCTTTAAGAATGTTGAATATTGGCCCCCACTCTCTTCTGGCTTGCAGGGTTTCTGCTGAGAGATCCGCTGATAGTCTGATAGGCTTCCCTTTGAGGGTAACCCGACCTTTCTCTCTGGCTGCCCTTAACATTTTTTCCTTCATTTCAACTTTGGTGAATCTGACAATTATGTGTCTTGGAGTTGCTCTTCTCGAGGAGTATCTTTGTGGCGTTCTCTGTATTTCCTGAATCTGAACGTTGGCCTGCCTTGCTAGATTGGGGAAGTTCTCCTGGATAATATCCTGCAGAGTGTTTTCCAACTTGGTTCCATTCTCCCCATCACTTTCAGGTACACCAATCAGACGGAGATTTGGTCTTTTCACATAGTCCCATATTTCTTGGAGGCTTTGCTCATTTCTTTTTATTCTTTTTTCTCTAAACTTCCCTTCTCGCTTCATTTCATTCATTTCATCTTCCATCACTGATACCCTTTCTTCCAGTTGATCGCATCGGCTCCTGAGGCTTCTGCATTCTTCACGTAGTTCTCGAGCCTTGGTTTTCAGCTCCATCAGCTCCTTTAAGCACTTCTCTGTATTGGTTATTCTAGTTATACATTCTTCTAAATTTTTTTCAAAGTTTTCAACTTCTTTGCCTTTGGTTTGAATGTCCTCCCGTAGCTCAGAGTAATTTGATCGTCTGAAGCCTTCTTCTCTCAGCTCGTCAAAGTCATTCTCCATCCAGCTTTGTTCTGTTGCTGGTGAGGAACTGCGTTCCTTTGGAGGAGGAGAGGTGCTCTGCGTTTTAGAGTTTCCCGTTTTTCTGTTCTCTTTTTTCCCCATCTTTGTGGTTTTATCTACTTTTGGTCTTTGATGATGGTGATGTACAGATGGGTTTTTGGTGTGGATGTCCTTTCTGTTTGTTAGTTTTCCTTCTAACAGACAGGACCCTCAGCTGCAGGTCAGTTGGAATACCCTGCCGTGTGAGGTGTCAGTGTGCCCCTTCTGGGGGGTGCCTCCCAGTTAGGCTGCTCGGGGGTCAGGGGTCAGGGACCCACTTGAGGAGGCAGTCTGCCCATTCTCAGATCTCCAGCTGCGTGCTGGGAGAACCACTGCTCTCTTCAAAGCTCTCAGACAGGGACATTTAAGTCTGCAGAGGTTACTGCTGTCTTTTTGTTTGTCTGTGCCCTGCCCCCAGAGGTGGAGCCTACAGAGGCAGGCAGGCCTCCTTGAGCTGTGGTGGGCTCCACCCAGTTCGCGCTTCCCGGCTGCTTTGTTTACCTAAGCAAGCCTGGGCAATGGCGGGCGCCCCTCCCCCAGCCTCGCTGCCGCCTTGCAGTTTGATCTCAGACTGCTGTGCTAGCAATCAGGGAGACTCCGTGGGCGTAGGACCCTGCGAGCCAGGTGCCGGATATAATCTCGTGGTGCGCTGTTTTTTAAGCCGGTCGGAAAAGCGCAGTATTCGGGTGGGAGTGACCCGATTTTCCAGGTGCCGTCTGTCACCCCTTTCTTTGACTCAGAAAGGGAACTCCCTGACCCCTTGCGCTTCCCAAGTGAGGCAATGCCTCGCCCTGCTTCGGGTCGCGCACGGTGCGCGCACCCACTGACCTGCGCCCACTGTCTGGCACTCCCTAGTGAGATGAACCCGGTACCTCAGATGGAAATGCAGAAATCACCCGTCTTCTGCGTCGCTCACGCTGTAGACCGGAGCTGTTCCTATTCGGCCATCTTGGCTCCTCCCCCCCGTGTGAACTATTTCTAAGGACGTTTTGGCAACTGAGTTTTAGAGATATTTCAAAAAAACTTTAGCATTAGTATTTAAGGGATCTTTTAAAAGCTTTCATTTTACACTTTTGTTACCCCCCTCCCCAAGTACAAGCTTATGGCTGCTCATGTGAAGTTGGAGACAAGGCAAAGTACACTCTCAAATCACCTTCCCATGTAACTGTGCTTATTTTGGGGAACAGCTGTACACCTCTATTCTCAGCAGAGTCAGCTGAAGCTAATGGCTCTTTTGCTCTGAATCTTACCATCTTACCTTTTAAGTCCTTTCAGGACATCATTCACAATCGCATCACAACCATCTTCAGATCCGCTACTCTCCTTAAGCATATTCAATTTCCATCACTGTGAAAACCAAATGAAATTCTATTACTTAATATTGCCCCTGCTCATGACTATCATGGACACTATATCTTTTTCTTTTTTTTCATTGCCAACTTCAGGAATATTGCATAACTAACTGATTATCCATTCATTCATTCCTAGATTCAACCATTTATTAAGAATGTTAATTGGTGGGGCTGGGCGCGGTGGCTCACCCCTGTAATCCCAGCACTTTGGGAGGCCGAGGAGGGCGGATCACGAGGTCAGGAGATCGAGACCATGGTGAAACCCCGTCTCTAATAAAAATACAAAAAATTAGCTGGGTGCTGTGGCGGGTGCCTGTAATCCCAGCTAAGCGGGAGGCTGAGGCAGGAGAATGGCGTGAACCCGGAAAGCCGAGCTTGCAGTGAGCCGAGATCGTGCCACTGCACTCCAGCCTGGGCGACAGAGCGAGACTCTGTCTCAAAAAAAAAGGATTTTGTTTTTACAGCACCAAACTACATTTGGTCCTTCACTAAAACTCAGGTTAATAAGAAATGATGTGTTGCAAAAGATTCCTTGAATCCCATTTAATTGTGATCAAATTTCTTATTTTCATTTCTCTTTTTAAATAATAATAGATTGTCTAGAAAAAGAAAATAGCTAAATGTAAATCCAGATGTAAGCAGTGTCTTAGATAGCAATGCTTTTATTCCTTTATTATAATATTGTCATTGAAAAAAATTCTAATATTTCTCATCTTTAAGTCCTACTGCTAGTTGTGGGTTAATTCCATGCCATATGTTGTTTTTCTTCAGTTTCATTAGTAATCTGCTTTTTCATCTATGACACATCACTTCTGGCCCTTACTTTGTCCCAGAGAACTCTCTGCACCATTCTCTATGGTTTGTGCCACTAAGGTGACCCACTGGACAGAGTGCTGGGAGCAAAGAAAGACATGACTTATGGAAAATATGATCTGTGTCCTCATGTTCTCCAGTTTTAAATATACTTCATATAGAAAATAAAAATAGTTTTTTGAAAAGAAAAAAAAAAGAATGTTAATTGGACATCTGATACTGTGCTAGGGCAGTGGGGAAAACCTTTTGGCTGCTGCTGTCCCTGCCACCAAGACACACAGCACAGTGCTCAGCGTATAGTAAATGATTAATAAACAGGAGTTCTCCCACCTGCCCCCCACTTCCATTTTCTCTCCACATTCACCATTTTCCTTCCTTGTTTATTTAATATTATCAGCCATTTTTTCTTCGTGTAAATAGCACATATGCAAAATTTGGACAAGTAAAAAAATTCACCCTTGTAATCATACCGTCTTAATTACAACCCTTTTTTTTTTATCCTTCTTTACGGGAGTTGTTTTTAGTGCATATATATTTTCATGTTGCAGCTTTATATTAATGTCATGGTTGCTTATGCTAATGCATACTTGCTTTATCTTGTCCAAAAATCCAAACAACAGAGAAAAGTGTAAATAATTGAGTAAAAATGAAATGCAAGCCTTTTATCCTAAGATATCATCTCAACCTTTCAGTGATTGTGAATTTATTTATTTTCCCATGCATATATATGTAATTTCATATGGACTGAATATTGTTTAGTGTCCAAATATTTAAAAATTATGCCTGTAATATCTGAAGACACTGTAAATATAAAAATTTCAGGGAATAAAACCTATTTTGAGTTAAATCAAAGTTCCTCCCATGGAGTTGCCATCCAGTTTGATGTGGTCTTTTAAGTCGTTTTCAACAAAATTATAGCTAGAAGTAAATATTTAAATATATTAACAACATAATTGGGTTAGTACTAAATGTATTTTTCTGCAGCCCGCTTAATATAACAATGTGTTTTCAACATAGTACGATAGTAATGCATTTAGATTAACCTCATTGAATGTATTCATTTTAAAATTTTTAGCTAACTAATACATATAAATACATTTAAAAGCACTGACAACTATAAGGCTTGAAAATAAAAATAGCAGTTGTTGGTCTTACCCCTCTCTAACTTACTACTCAGAAATTCTTTTGGACATTTTCTCTGACATGAAAATCTGTTTTGCAAAATAACGTGCATGCATTCTTATTTCTGGACTTTATTTTATATGTTGTTTATTGGTTTCTTACAACAGAAGAATCTTTCCTAAGGAACTCTCTAACCCCCCTCATCTTTTTTCACCTGCCTGCCCTATTTCAATTACAATTTTTGTATTAAATCACTAGTCCCTGTTTACAGTATAACAACTAGATGCATATTGTTCATAGTTAAGTAATGCAGAGTACTACAATTACATTCCCTTTCTTATATTCTTCGGAGGTTAATAATTGTCTTAATTTGTGTTGTTTTCTTATATTCCCTGCGTATTTATTACTGATTTATCTTCAGATTCTTTGACAGCACTATAGCATCCTTATTGATACGGTAAACTTTAATACTAAGATATTCACCTGTAAGCTTTCAAGATCTTCCTTTTCTCTGGGAGTCTAGGCCTTGAAATTTTTAAAAAATATATTTAGTGGGTACTGCTGAGGATTTCTTGCATGCATATATTGCATAGTGGTGAGGTCTGGGCTTTTAGTACACCCATCTCCTAAATAGTGAGCATTGTACCCAGTGGGTCATTTTTCAACCTTCATCCTGCTCTCCCATGTTTCGGAGTCAGCATCTACTATTCCCCTCTGTATGTTCATGTGGGCCCATTATTTAGCTCCCATGTATAAGTGAGGACGTGCAGTGTTTGACTTTCTATTTTTGAGTGATTTCAGTTAGGATAATGGCTTCCAGTGCCATCCATGTTGCTGCATAAGACATGGTCTCATTCTTTTTTATGGCTGAGAAGTATAGTGTTTTCTTTTCTTTTCTTTTCTTTTCTTTTGAGACAGGGTCTCACTCTGTCACCCAGGCTGTAGTCTCAACCTCCTGGGTTCAGGTGATCCTCACACCTCAGCCTCCCGAGTAGCTGAAACTACAGGCACATGCTACCACACCTGGCTAATTTTTAAATTTTTTTGTAGAGATGGGGTCTCCCTATATTGCCCAGGCTGGGCTTGAACTCCTGGACTTGAACGATCCTCCAGCTTTGGCCTCCCAAAATGCTGAGATTACAGGCGTGAGCCACCATGCTTGGCAGCTGAAGTATGTATGTATGTATGTATGTATGTATGTATGTATGTATGTATGTATGTGTTATTATTACTATTATTTGAGACAGGATCTTGCTCTGTTGCCCAGGCTGGAGTGCAGTGGGACAATCATAGTTCACTGCAGCTTCGACCTCCCAGGCTCAAGCCCTCTTCCTACCTCAGCCTCCCACATACCTGGGACCATAGGCCCATACCATCATGCCTGGCTGATTTTTGTATTTTTATTTTTGTAGAGACAGAGTTTTGCTATGTTACCCAGGCTAGTCCCAAACTCCTGAATTCAAGCAATCTGCCAACCTCAGCCTTCCAAAGTGCTGGGATTGCAGGCATGAGCCACTACACCCAGCCTGAAGTATGTATTTTAAATGACACATTTTGGTGGAGTCCTTTCATTCAATGAGTTGAATGTTTCTTGGGCCCTTCAATGTGGTAAGAAATGCTTTGGGTTATTTTTAATTTTGAGATGTTTCTGTTATTTCTTTAAGGGATTTCTTCCTTCTGAGTTTGTTGTTCTCTCTGTAGCTCCTAAATTGATTCTTTTTTATCCATTTTTTTCATTTTCATATATTTTTGTTTTATCTTTTGTGTTTTCTTCTATTGTATCTTCCAGTCCTTAAGTAGCATTTTTGATTTATTTTGTACTAGTTGGTAATTTCTGAGAGTAATTGTTTTCTGAATATTCCTTTTATTTAATAGTATTCTTCCTGGTTTCATGAATCTTCTCTTACTTTCTCACTTATTTTTCGAGGTTATCAATTCCAGGGTTGTTTTGTTGTTCTTTTGCATTTGCTCATTTGTTTTTTTAGCTTTCACTTCCTCTCTTAATGGTCTCATTTTCTCTGAGTTCCTTTTCTATCTCCTTTGATCTTTGTCTTTCATGTTGGAGACTTTAAAACATGTTGCATTATTCTGGATCTCCGTTCATATTCCAAAATGATGCAGTGATACACTAAAAGAAAGTCCTGGGCAAGTAAGTGGGTGTGATTTGTTGACCATGTAGAAACTCAACCTTTTGGTTGGAGGCTTCCAAATGCCAGTTGATGTAGGTATTTTCTCCTAGACTGGGAAATTTTCCCAGGGGTAAACCCTCTAATCTCTCATCTGTGAGAGCAGGGGGAGATGGTAAGGAAGACAGTTTAAATGTAGTCTGTCTGGCTGTTAGGGATCGGGGTATGCCAGAGGATGAGTATGTAGGAGGAGGTGGGGGGATTCTTATAAGAAAGAGATTTCACTCTCTCTCTTTCTGGTGCTTCACTCTTTTTTTTTTTTTTTTTTTTTGAGTCGGAGTCTCGCTTTGTCGCCCAGGCTGGAATGCAGTGGTGTGATCTCGGCTCACTGCAGTGGTGCTTCACTCTTATGTTCAACTGTGTCTGATGTCTGTGAGCCCAGAGCTTCTCTGGTTCAAAGTATTTCCATAGTAAATATCCCGTCTCCTGTAGGGTGGCAGAAATGTTGTTCCTTATCAGATAGGAGAGAGCATTTGGAGTGTACAGTTTTTTTTTAAGTTTTATTTTGTGTTTAGTTGATACATGATTGTACGTACTTTTTGGGTACGGTGTGATGTTTTGATACATGTAGACATTGCATAAGGATCACATTATTATTGCATAAGGATATCCATCATCTCTACCACTTGTCATTTCTTTGTGGTGAGAACATTAAAAATCCTCTCTTCTAGCTATTTTGAAATATACAATACATTTTTGTTAATTACAGTCACCCTCCTGTGTAATAGAACAGCAGACGTTATTCCTCTTAGCTAACTGTAACTTTATACTTGTTCACCAACCTCTCCCCATGCCACATCCCTCATCCCCTCCCCAGCCTCTGGTAATAACCATTCTACTCTCTACTTCTATGAACAACTCATTAGATTCCCCATATGAGTGAGATCATGGGGTATTATCAATTCCCCTTTTCTCATTCATCCTGTGTCTTTGCCTCTATATGTACCCACTGCCTCTAATTTTTGAGATATTCTGGAATTGCTTGGTGAAAATTAACTTGCTTCCTGTTTGGCCCTGAATAGAGTGGAGAGGCTGATACCTAAGCTTGCTATCATATAGCTATCACTTTCCATTTTCCTGAGTAGTCTTGAAATCTTTCATCTGCTACCATTTTTTTCTTAAATACTTTTTAATTTTGTGATGTTTTCCTTTTTCCTTTAATTTAATTTTGTAATGTTTTCCTTTTCCCTTTACTGTCATTTTAATAAAATTTCATAAGTGAACAAAGATAAATATCTGCATTCACCTTGACTAATTAAATAATTCCATTCCATTACTTTCTTAAATATTAATGATGGCATCGTTCTCCAAATCATTGCTTATATACCATATTGATCCTTGATTTTTTTTTTTTTTTTTTGAGACGGAATCTAGCTCTCTTGGCCAGGCTGGAGTGCAATGGCATGATCTCAGCTCACTGCAACCCCTCCGCCTCCCAGGCTCAAGCAATTCTCCTGCCTCAGCCTCTCGAGTAGCTGGAACTACAGGCGTGTGCCACCATGCCCGGCTAATTTTTGTATTTTTAGTAGAGATGGGGTTTTATCATGTTGGCCAGCTGGTCTCAAACTCCTGAGCTCAAGTGATTCACCCACCTTGGCCTTCCAAAGTGCTGGGATTTCTGGTGTGAGCCACTACACCCAGCCTGATCCTTGATTTTCCATGACACTTGGCATTACTTACAATTTACCTCTGGGTTGCGTGACACTGTAGCTTCCTAGTTCTTCTTCTATGTCTGTTTGTTCCTGATCTCTTTTTCAGATTTCTCATATCTTTCTCAATTCCAAAGGTTTGAATGAGATAACATATGTTAGTCACTTATTGTGCTGTGTAGCATAAAACCATAAACAATCTTGGGAATTACTTCACATAATCTTTTACTTATCCTTATCATGATGCTTACAAATTGAATTGTAATTTCACTGAGGTCAGGATTGAAGTTTAATTTGCCTCTGTGTGTTTAACACCTAGAACCATGGTCCATATGTGTGTATATAAAAACATATAATATGCATTGAGTGTTTGTAGAGGGAAGCAAAAAGGACAAGAAGAGACACAAGAAGAAAGGAATTGATGTCATTTGCAAAAATGTATAAATTAACCATGTAATATAAAAATAATCAGGATGATTTATTTAGCTTGCTAACAATTTAAAATAAGAAAAACACATATTTTGGGTGAAAATATCATCAGAGTTTTTATAAAAACTCATAGACAGAAGTGGAAAGTTTCATTCAGATTCATGGCTTTCACACTTTTCACACTTTGTTAGCCTCACTGCTATAATTAGTTTCAATCTCCTAGATTGCATAGCACAACTTATGCCAGTAACACCAAAAATACACACACACACACACACACACACACATGCACACACAACATAAACACATGTAAATGTAACTAAAACCTACCAGAAATCATATATCTTGTTCAGAAGTGTTTTAATAAGTCAAATGCATGAAAAATAGCTAATTATATAAAATTTATCTTTTTAAAATTGCATTGAAATGGCTGATAGAAGAGGATACAAAGGGACCCTCCCCACATTGATCCTCCCCACCTCCCAGCCTTTACCCAGAGATAGTTGTAGAATTAGTCCTATAGGGCAGGAATGGAAAGGCCAGGCTCATCCATGTGAGGAGAGAGCAGGTAAGTTGTGGGTTTTTTGAGGGGAATCTACTGTTTCATTTAAAAAATGTCAACATAAAACAAACAAACAAAGACTATATAGGGGACATTTCACATTTTATCTGCACCTACCTAAAGCATTTGAGTATTATTGTCCAGAACTTGCTGTATATTCTTTAGTTGTTTCTTTTCCATGCATCCTTTTTCTTTGAGGTTTTCCTCAAGAGCAGAATGCTTCTAAGTTGCTAGACAAATTCTTGATAACCCAATAAGGCCACCAGTCAGTATGTTTCCTGTCTCCCTACTAGGAGCAGTTTGAACATCTTTGTCCAATTTCTGGAATAAAACATCTGAGAAATGACAGTTCACAGTATATGTTAAAACAAATAAATTTTCTGTCCAATTCCTGGAATAAAACATGAGAAATGACAGTTCACAGTATCCGTTAAAACAAATAAATTTACAGGAATACTTAAAATTCATACAATGTGAGATTTTTTCCAGAAACAAGTCATACCCACTCATTCCTAAGTTAACCAACAGGACACAGCCCTGGTGATGGCTTTCTGAGGATGACACGATGGAGGCTTCTCCAATAGCTCTAAAACTGCGGTGTGGAAAACATTCGGCAGCCTCAAAGAGCGGTCTTGTTGACCCCAACTATATCATTTTTCATCAAAATCATTCTTGGTAAGTCTTATGCCCAAGGAGTTATTTTCCTTAGCAACATCATGGTATGGAGGGATTTGCTATAGGATAGGTCCTGAATATTCTTGCTTTTTTTCTGACTTAACTTTGAAAAGAAGTCCTAGACTAAATTCAACCCTGCTCTTTCAAATAGCTTCCTCAAAAATATAAAAAAAATCTTTTAAGTCTGCTTTTCTCTGCACATGGCCCTCTACACAACATCCATAGATACAGTAGAGACATAGATGAAAGATGGGTGTAACCGAGAACAGGTTTGTATACCAATTTCCATAATTATCAATGTATCAGATTTTATAGATTGATAAGGAAGCGTGGGCCCCAAGGTAGGCATTATCTTTGGCCTGTTGATTGTCCACTGGCAAAGTCTGTAATTTTGAAGTTGTATTAACAACAACAGGTTGTTGCATCATCTAACACAAATGAATGCATCCATTTGGAATATACAAGAGAAGACCATATGATTCTGAGGAAGGGGCTCGAAGCACTCTCTTCTGGGGAATTCAACTTCATATCAGTGAGGTGAAGTGGATATAAGAAAAATGCTGTGTGTGTGGAGAGCATTAAGAAAGGTCATATATTTCAAAAAAGAATATTGTTTACAAGGAGTGTTAATAGGTTTCAGGGGAAATGTTAATTTTTTTTCCTGGATGAAATAGCTACTGCAAGTTTTTAATGGTTAATCATTCATTCTTGAATTTTTATATTAAGCATTTCATATTACTTTATTGACTTAACTTTTATGCTCTTCTTCATTTTGACAGTAAAGAATGACCAGGCAACACTCTTTGAAAATTGGAGGCCATTTGCAGCTGCTCTCTGTTGAGGAAAGTGAATAATAGGGTGCCCTCAAGGAATTGCAAAGGTATCACTCAACAGAAACTTTCGTGTCTGAAGAAAACTAGATCATTTTATCATGGTAGGCATGCTGATATGTTTGCTTTAATAAAATGCCATATTTCTGCCTTTAATCTCTTGTCAACCCGCTATTAAAAAGCCCCAAAGTGCATGTGTGCAGCGCATGTAAACACTTGTGGTTTTGAGGTTACCACAGAACATACTAATAAAGCATGTAATTTGTGTTTTGTGCACAGACTGTAATAATTTATTGAGTGGTACAGAGAAGCTAGAAAAGGATTTTCTCTAACTTTTGCCAGCAAGTCAATTTATTTTTAGTGCTCTATGCAGAAGTACATGTATACACATGTTCTTATGATTACATCATGTTTAAAAAGCATTAGGGAGCCTGCATAACAAAATGGGACAAAACATAAATTCATTTTGCACATACGGAAGACATTCTATCAAGCATGCTAATGTTCCTCCTATAAGCTGATCAGCTGGGAGGTGTGGCATATATTCTTCCACAAAGGGTGTGTGTTTGTGTGTGTGTGTGTGTGCATGTTTGTGTGCGTGTTGAGCACTGACAATACATTAGCAGAGTATAGATCAAGTAAGTTCAAGTAAATTAAGACGAATAATAATAGCAAGAACTTTTATAAACTTTACCAACTTTATCCCCAGTCCCCCTGGGGGAGGAGGGCAGAGAACAATGTTGTTCCTTCTTTTATATGGAATAACAAAACGTATAATGGTTGGGTCACTTCTAGAGGGTCCTAGAAGAGCTCATTGCCAGACTACAGCTTCCACCATGATTGTTTGGGTAGCCAATTTATCTGTTTATGTAAGATCCTTACAGGTAAGAACCATCAGGTTGTATACCACTTAGCTTTTTGCTTTCACTTCTTCCCTTGTGAGGTTCCTTGCACACAACAAATCATCCACACAGATGCATAATTTGAAAGGAAAGGTCTTGAGCTTATGGAAGAAATACATACCAGTTTCTGGAAAATTCTGTGAAATTCTGTAGTTGGAAAATAATTCTGTGAAATTCTATGCTTTATTTACTCAAACAAAAAACACATTCAGTTTAGAAATAACGTCTGTGCCCAGAAGAAATAGGTGTTAGATACTCAAAACGTGTTTATTCCAAAAAGATGCAAGATTTCTCTCCTGGAAAGCAATTCACCACTCTCTATGCTTCTTTTTCTTTCTGAGAAGTCTTATACACATAACAGTTTTCAATGCACAGATGGATCTTCTGTGGTTCACAACCTTTTACATTTGAGGGCTAATTAAAATGAATCCTTTGTGCCACCTCTAAGATACAACTCACTCCTTCATGTTGTTCATTGACTAAGATCTAATAAACCAGTTCCAATTCATAACTAGGGATTATTGAACTTCTTGTGGCCATTGGCTATCATAGAGGCATTGTGAAAATCTCTAAGGAGACAAGTGCACAGCAGCCTGGCCCGGAGGGTCCTCTTATTTGAAGTAGAACTCAAGTTGCACCCAATTATGTAAGGCTGATCCAACCCAGAAAAGAGTTTTCTGCAAGAGATTAAGCCAATTCTCCAGAACTCTAAGGAGGAAATCAAGATCCTTGTGGCTGTTTGATCACTTCTGTGATTTGAATGTCTCCACGGTTTAATCATTTGCTTACATAATGAGGACATTACAGAGAGAAGAGATGAGGGTAGGGGAAGAGAAGGAAGGGAAAGTGAAAAATAAGAAGGAAAAGGAAAAGAAAGAAGAAAAGGAAAGAAAGAAAGAAGTAGAAAGGAAAGAAGGGATGGAGGAAGGAGAGGTGGGAAGAGGTGAGATGCAAGGCGCGGAGAGGAGAAGAGGAAGGAAGAAAAGAAGAAAGAAATTGGTCAGAAAACCATATATCATTAAAATGTTTATCTTGCACATGTTGGATGGTACTAGTTTTCTAGTATCAGAGGTACTGGAGTCAATGCTAATTTTAAAAAGCCAGGAACAAACATTTTCAAACTGTTAAAAATTATGATTTGGAAGGCTTTTTGATTGGCATAAAATGTAACAGATATAAAAAGTAGAGATTAGCTATTTAAGTAGCTAGGTTAAAAGAAGCTTAATCAGGGCTCTTTTGCTTAGTAGCCTTTTTAATATTAATATGTGGGTTTCTCAGCCATACATGGATGCCAAATCATCTTTCATGATCAAATTTAACTGATCAAATGTGTTTTAACATACACATAAAGATGGGAGTAGGGTGGGGGCACAAATACATACAAAAAATTCAGAGTCAAAACAAAGTTAGTTCCCAGGATCATGTTTTAAATCTGTAACTCTGTAAGGTTGCAAAGGTTCATGCATATCAAACTCACTTTATTTTATTTTAATGTGGTAATCAAAACATCTGTTGAAACATTTTAGATAAAGATGGGCAGGTTTGAAGAATAATGACAAATGTGAATCAATTTAGAACACCAGTATAGACTATATTTTAAGTTAAAATTACTTACATATTAAATAAGCACCCATTACTAGTTTTTGTAATGCTTTTATCTTTGTTAAACAAAATGTCATACCCAAAGGTTATAATTTCTATTTAAAGAGATTAATGCAAAATAATTCTGTGATTGCAGTAGAAACCATTGATATCAAAACACAGCATTCACATCACAGGACACAATCCAAGTTGTAACTCACTAAATATACTCTACATAAATGTAAGATCTGTGACAACCACTTTTTTCCTCAGTAAGAAGACTGAAGGAAAGACAATAGTAGTTTTTCAAAAAAATTTTCCTCTAAGCTTATGTGTACATATTTCCTTATAATGAGCTCTAGAACTAACTGAAGAGTGAAAAATCCCACAGTTAAAAAGTCATAAGTTCAGTGTCCCAAGAGTTTAGGTAATGACAGTGGTTTTACACTACACTAATGTTTTACACTAATCATTGATCTTTTATAAGAATTTCCAAGTTCAATATTTTAAGATCACAGCTTTCCACAATTTAAGTTTACGTAGATATAAAATATTTAGATATAGATTCAGGTACATCTGGCCTAGATCTTGTTGATTGTGACCTCTGCAATACAATTACTAGCTGTATTTTTTAGAATGTTATAATTTGCACTTGTTCAACTTCAATGCATACCTTTCATATTCGAAGTAATCATTAATTCTGAAGGAGCATTAAAAAATAATCCTACGGTCTGTCAGACTTTGAGCCTAACTAGTTCAAAGTATCAGTAAATTGAAATACAAAACCTACTAAATTCTGATATCGAGAAAACTTCATTAATTCTTACATTCATTCAGTCAGTCGTCCATGTAGACTTGGTAGGTTCTAAATAAATATATGCTAAATGGAAGAATGAATGAATGAATAAACTTTTATGTATCTAGTGCATAGCTCTCATATGTTAAATGGTCACTAACTCTGAGTGAACATTAAACAAAAACATTCTAGTTGCTGGTGATCGTGTAGTAAGCATGACAGATTAAGTTTCTTACCCTCATGGAGCTTACATTCTAATGATGAAATTTCATCAAAACTATTTATTCATTTCAAACCAAACACCAAGGCAATTGGGCAAATATTCTTTTCTCATTTTCTTTTAGAACTCTTATGGTTTTCTTTTCTTTTTACCAGGGACACGCTGCGGATGGCTTGAGATTAGTATCTGCGCAGGTGCCATTCTCACAGTGTGTGCTGTGAGAATGTCGCAGACGTGTGCTGCTACTCTGGCACTCACACTTGTCCAGGCTGTTTCTTAGGTGGTCATCTTGCCTGTGGTATCAGAAAAAGGGATTTCTACTTAGTATTAAGAAGTTGAAACCAAAGTAGAAAATATTCATCCTTTGCTTTCCCCAAACAATTCTTCTGCCTAGAAATGTCAACAACTTAACCACATGCAAATACCCATTTGTGGACAAATGTGTACAAAAGACATTTGGGGTTCCCCTCTTTGAGACTAGATTAAAGCTGACCATATAGATAGGGAAGAAAACTGTTTTTCTCTGTAGCATCATATTGCTGCTTTGTATATTTTCTGATAGAGTAGCATCAGGTCCTCTGGCTGCTTTATTGAAATCATCTTTGACGTTTCTAACAAGGAAATTTCCTGTGCAAAACTCTAGTTAGAGATTTCAGTGACTTGTATCACCAAGAGGAGGACCATCAGCATGCAGTGGAGGTCTAGGCTTCAGACATGTGAGGCACACTGAGGAGCAGCTTTATTTGCAAGAGGTATTAGGAATCTTCCTAACAAAGTTGACCTTCAGGATGGGAGAAATCAAAGCACAGACCATAGATCCAAAAAAAATGGCTTCTGGTCAGAAAAGGTGATCTGAGATTAGGGGAAGATGTGTCATCAATATCATCCCCTGGTCCAGCCCTGTGAAATCACACCTGAGTGGTAGAGAAATATCTATGAAAAAATAGTAAAACAGAAACAAATGTTTCTGTCTGGCAGACAGGCAGCTGCATGGCTTTCAGGGCCAGGTAGAGGGGACATCACATGTACATGGTGGCAGCGGGATGTCCCCAGGTAGCAGAAAGTCGCAGGTGGCTCATCAGAGACCCTAAAGAACTAGCCCCCTACTTGTAGGTGTCAGTGGCTGTGGTAGGAGTGGCCATAGATAGTTTCTGGTTACACAAGATTGGTGTGGGAACAGCATGACCACGAGAAAAATCTGGGTTGACGGCCCCAGGGAGCTGGAGCAGAATATTAACAATAGTAGCTAGCATTTGAGTGCTGCCCATGTGCTTGAAAATGTTCTAGGTGATTTACCTTTATTAGCTCCTATAATTCTCAAAACGACCTCGAGTTAGGTCTTTCTATTATTCCTATTTTATAGACAAAGCAGTGGAGCCACAGAGAGGTTAAGTAACTTGCCCAATGTCACACAGCAAAAAGTGGCAGAGCCACAATTTTAATTTGGGTTGAAGAGGAAAATAGATAATGCATATTCCTAGGATCTGAGAGATGTTTGAGGTGAGGGGGAATGAGAGGCTCTCCTTTGAAAGAAGCAGCAGGGGGTACTGAAACAGAGTAGAAGAGTGTGAAAGCTGGTGGGGTTGTTGTTGTTGTTGTTTTTAGTCCTAAGTTAGTGGCATGAAAGCACTGCCCTGGAAGCGATGGAGCAGCAAGTGCTCTACCCACATGGAAGTCTTTGGGACCTGCACTTCAATGAGCGCAGAGAGGAAAAGGAGAGAAGAACCAACACAACTGAAGCACCTACGAGCGTCAGGCACTGGCCCAGGTGTGTGCCATCGGCCATTTTCATCTCTATTTCATAGTTTAGGAAACAAACTCAGAGAAGCTAAGCACATTTCCCAAGTTCCCACAGCTGTAAAGTTGCAGAAACGGGATTCAAATGCAGGTCTGATTAAATCCAAAAGTCATACTTTTCTCAGAGTACCACACTGCTTCTTCCCAAGACACATACTAATGGGGAAAGGGAGGGTGTGGATCAGGTACTATGCTTATTACCTGGCTGACAAAATCATCTGTATACCAAACCCTCGTGAAACGCAGTTTACCTGTATAACAAGCCTCCACATGTACCCCTGAACCTAAAAGTTTAAAAAATTTTAAGGTAAAAACATGAAATTATCCATAGAACATATTAAATTGGAATTTCACTTGAATCAAACATTGCTCAGGACACAATTTATTGAGATTTTATTCCTCTATTTATTATATAATTACAAGGAATGAAAATCATGAGCAGTGTTTCAAAGCATTCATCTATTAACTGGAAGGTTTTAACCAAATGCATCTCTGCTGCTTTCGATCAGGCCAAGGACAAAGGTTAAACAAGGTAACTTGCCCATATGCTTAGGAAGCACTTTGAAAACAAGACCATAACTTTTTTTTTTTTTTTTAAGACGGAGTCTTACTCTTGTTGCCCAGGCTGGAGTGTAATGGTGTGATCTCTGCTCACTGCAACCTCCGCCTCCCAGGTTCAAGCAATTCTCCTGCCTCAGCCTCCCGAGTAGCTGGGATTACAGGCGTCAGCCACCTTACCCAGCTAATTTTTGTATTTTTGTAGAGACAGGGTTTCACTATGTTGGCCAGGCTGGTCTTGAACTCCTGACCTCAGGTGATCCACCTGCCTCGGCCTCCCACAGTGTTGGGATTACAGGCGTGAGCCACTGCGCCCGGCCAACCGTAACTATTCTGTAGAAACTGGTATGGTTAGTCAAAACCACTCATGCACAAAGCATACTATCAGATTCACTCACAGTGATTTTCCTAAATGTTTATATTAATTAAATGGCCTAATGCTGCCATAAAATATTTCTCTTCTGCTGTCTTTCTTAGCCCACATACCATGCTAAATGTCAGCTAGGAGAGCTCAGAGGGCAGTCCCTGATTTTAATGAGTTGTATTCTGAAAGTAGTTTAGAAATGGAATTCATTGTTTCAGAAAATAATTGTTATAAACATAGGTAACTATGAAGCTAGTTCACTTAATTTATCTGACAGATTAAGTGAGCATAGCAGAAGGAGTCTGAGGGAGTTGAGAAGATACCTTTGGTGTCATGAGAACAGGGTTTTGACTCTCTGAGAGAAGGAACATCACTCCTCTTTCCTAAATCATATATTATAAGCCTCATTTGTGAGTAACGGGAGTATTAGCAACCCCTCTCTAGCTCTTCTTGTGTGCCAGACACAGTTCTAAGTCTTCTCTGTTTTCATTCATTCTGCAGCCACACCAGACCAATCTGGTTCAATTTTTATGTAACAAAGTTGCGAATTGTCTTTCAGCTGCCATGGACCCCCGAGTTGAAGGTCGTATAACCTCAGCCTGCCCAAATGAACCAAGCACACAACCACAGGGGGAACCCAAGAGTTCCAGTGGGAGAGCTGGAAGAGGAGGGACCAATGTGAGAAGTGGACACCATATGGCAGGATCCAGGATCCAATCAGACTGAGCCCTGGGGTCACCCCATGGAAGGATCCAGTTGGATCATGCCTCCTGGCATCACCTACTGCAAGATCCAATCAGATCACACCTCCTTACCCTATGCTTATAAAACCCCACCCAGCCCCCAGCCCGAAGATACAGATTTGAGTATTTCCTCCTGTTTCCTTACCAGTCGATTTGCAATAAAGCTTTTTTTTTTTTCCTAAAGTTGGTGCTGTGGTATTGGCCTCTATGAGCATTGGGTGGGAAGCTCATTGATTGCTTTGTAACAATTCCTACAACAATTTTCTGAGGTGAGGACTATAATTGTTCCCATTTTACCAAAGAGAAAGAGGAGACACAGAGAGGTTAAGGGATTTTCCCAAGGTCACACAGCTGGTAAACGGAACCCACTCGACTGACATCAGGAGAGGAAGGTATTCAACAGCCAGACACCCTGAACTCACAGGTCTTAGCACATTGTAACCACCCTCGATGAAAGGAAAAGGCAAGATTAGGAAACATCTCTCTGTGATGATCCAGAAGACTATCTGAATAGGCGCTGGAAGTGCAACAGGTTTACTGTTCAACGCTAAGAGTTTCTAAGAGACTTCAAATGGTAAGGTAGTAACACCCACAGGAGAAAGCCACAGAAGTGTAAGTCTTCATGGTGAACTTCAGCCTACAAAGATCGTAAACACCCGGCCATACATTGCTGGGCACAAATTTGCTATGGCATCATGACTTTGTAATAGATTTCCGTAAACATAGGTTAAATGTTCTGTTTTTCTTCCCTCCACTAGAACTTTAAGGCTACCCTTTCCTGTTACATTCCTATAAAAACTCAAAGGTAGATTCTTATCTTTCACCAGGGAGACTTTGGGGTATACAGATAATAGTCACAGCCGTGTGTGTTTGATTTATTGGTCAGGCCATGGTAGTGTTGTGTATGGCCATTGGTGTTCAAGGTTTAAGTGTTGCATGCTTCCTAGTGGGACTATTATATTTTGAGTACACTTCTTGCAATTCTTTTTTTTTCTTCTTTTCTATATTTAATCTCAGATTGTACCATAAAAGTAACCAGCTGCAGAAACGGAAGACATCCAAAGTCCTGTGGAGTGGATAACCTGAAAAGGCTGATAGGATCTTTTTAGTCTCAGTGGAGCAAGGCCAGAGGGCAGTGTTTGGTGTGGTGTTTGCTAACCAGAGTGCTCTCCTTTTATTTTACACCAGAGTCCGTCCTGTGACGTGGAGTACGCAGTGTGCTGAAATGGGAGAAGCTGTCTTTTTTATAGGTCTTATGTGTGAGCAAGCCTGGTTTGCTTAATTACAAAAACGTGGTGATGCCAGAGATCTGATAAACTATCGAGAGATTGAAAATCAGGTTTTGGGCATATCTATCTCCTGTGATGCCTTTAATTCCGTTGGAGCAACATGGTATAGATAGGTTAATCTCGAAATGCCTCTAGGCAAATTCAGTCCTTTTCTTAGTTTCTTCCAAATACCAGGATCATTTTATACCCATGGATTATTTGTGCAATACTTTTCCTCGGTAAGTTAGTTAATGAAAGTAAAACCTCTGGAGAAACTACACTTATATCTGGTTTCTATATTGATCCATTTAATATCTTTTTCCTCTCCTTTTTGGGAACTTAATCCAGTAGACGGTGTTTTTGTCTGTGACAGCATGGTTAAAATAAATCTCAATTTGAGGGGAGGGCATCTCCACAGTAACGACTTGTGTGATTTAGAAGCGGCATCAAACATTCTGCCTCTGTTCCTCTATTTGCAAAAAGGATCATTCTCGTGGTCCTTATAGGAAAGAGGGGAATGCATTATAGATCCATGATAAAAATGTACTCGCCCAGTGCCTCCCTGTTTCTCCACTGAGTCTATTTATTCATTCTTTCAATAAATATTTTTTGTATTCCAATTACGTACCAAGCCCCGTGCTAGGTACTGAAGGTATGGCATTCTGTATGTCACAGAGTTTCTATTTTTTCAGGTAAGATAGACAGATACAAAGAGCAAATAATAAAGTGTTAGGTGTCCTTGTACGAAAGGCACAGGGGACCTTAGAAGCACGTGGCAGAATTTCATTTAGCAACATAGAAAAGGAAGGGTGGTAAGAAATGAGGCTGGAGAGGGTCTGAAATGCTATGGCCGGGGGAAGACTTCAAAGAGTGGAACAGGCAAGAGGGGCTTAATCACATGTACAGTTTAGAATGCTACCTCTGGGTCCAATGTGGAGAATGGTCGGGAGGAGATGGATAGCTTTAGGGTGCTTAATAACGTTTTTTGTTGAATAGTATACCCTTCAAAGCCTAAAAACATCAAAATCCTACTAATCCCCACATAAGAGTCATTGGAAATGGATTCTTAGCCTACTTCATTTTTTATAACCTTTTTTGGAAGAGCCTATTGTAGGGTTTTTATATTATCCATGACGGCAATAAGAAAAGATTCTCAAGTGAGAATCACTCTTCCATAGGCTTATCTAGAATTATTTTTTATCATCATCATCATCATCATCATCATCATCATCATCATCATCTAGCATAGATAGTCCCAGAAATAGGAGAGTTGCCTTTTGGAGAAGATCAGCCTTGGTGACACAATGCTCAGCAAGTTTAGTTATAGCTCCTCCCCTTTTACTCCTATTCATTTAAATATTGGGACGGGCAGCTGAGAATGGCAGTTTTGGAAGACCCCCTCCTTCAAGTCTTGCACGATTGGAAAGATTTCTCTTAGTTCCCTTACCTTTGCAAGCTGGTTTGTTTCCTACTGCCTTGTATGTACCACATGTATTCACCAGTTTTGGTACAGTGTATTGCTGGTTCATGAGGTATCTGCTGGAATCCATGTCCCCTCTTTGTCTTTCTTTAATTTAAATCTGGCCCCAATCATATCAGGCTATTTTAATTGTTTGGAGGTGCCAGCCCCTGGTTGGGCAGCTCCAGGCCTCACTCCCATCCATCCTTGATAAATGAGGAAACAAAAAACCAAAGAGGCTGGTATAATAGGACTTGAAGAAAATGCCCTTTCCTTACCTTTGTTTTTTCTATATCAGCCCAAGCTGTTTGTGTTCTCTGATACTCTTTTTTCCCAAGACAGAAGTGAAGGAAACAGAATCAGACTGTGAACATTCAAAAACAATACAAACAGAATACATTTAATAGAAATAAAACAAATTCCTCACAGAAAATTAACTGTCTCTGAAACTTTCTAGAAATTATCATAAAGAATTTGGTTATTAACAGTAACATTTATTTAGGAAATATAATTTTAAGGATTTTCTAAAAATGAGTATGGGCTTATTTTATTTAAGGCCTTGTATGTGCTTCAGCAAAAATGATTTTGTAACTTAAAGCCATGTAAAGTATAAATTAAAATACTGACTTTTTGATTGCTTTATTTACTTTCTTAGCCTGAATAACTATGTATCTATCTATACACACGCATATATATAATATATACATATATATGTATATGTGTGTATATATATATATATAACTGAGTAACTTTCTACATCTATCTAGATAGCTAGCTACTACATAATACACTGATGACTACTAATAAAATCCTGAGGTTTAAAATAGAAGCTCTAGGACAGTTTCATATATATTCATTCATCAACTTACAACATAATGGACTAAGAGCTTTCTAAACAAAGGAACACATTTATGGAATTTAAATATTCTACTTACTTGTTTTACATAACTATTTTACATGTATAAGGTCTCTGAGGTATTAGGAAACATGAAAATTATTTAATATAACATCACCAGATGGATGAATACCTCTATAACAGCCATAATAAGAGGTCATCTCACTTTTTTGTACATACCTAGTGATGTAAAATGTGCCATCTCTCTTGAAAGCTAGATATATTTTCAGGCAAAATAATTATCAGACAGTCCTTTCTTACAATGAGCCAATATCTTCCTTTCTGCAACGTTCTCCTGCTTTGTTTTCTTTTTGCCCTCCAAGAGTCTCAGAGAATGAAACAAATCTCTCTTTCACCTGACAATGCTTCAGATATTTAGAGGCAGCTATTATAGTCTAGTCTTTTTCCATCACTTATTAAACATCCTTGAAATTTTTAACTATTACTTGGAATTTTGTTTGTTAAAGACCTGTTGAATCCCCACATCCAGATCCAAACACAATGCTGCTGAACAGGACAGGGCAGAGTTACCAGCCACCTTCATTAACTTTTAAATAACAAAAGAAGTTTTGTTCTTCATCTTCTCTAACAAATGCGCAGAAGAAGGTGGGCATTTGATTGACAGGTATCTTTACAATCTTTTGTGATTGCCTTTTGATTTTTGACTAAGATTTGCTTAAGTGTATATGATAAAATATATACAAAAAAGAAATGAAATCAGAAATAACATCAGGCTTTCATTTAAAAAAATACAAATTATTGCTCAAATTAAAGAGTTTCTCATTGGAACTTTGTTCTTTTAGGTTATTAAATGGAAAATAGAAAAATGTGAATTGTACCTCACATTAAAAGAAAAATTTAAGACAATTTAACAGAGTTTAATTGAGCAAAGAAAAATTGGTGAATTGGGCAGCCCATGAACCAACCAGAATAGGTTGAGAGTGACTTCAGTGCTGCCCCACCATTGGAGATGATTTATGGACACAAAAAAAATGTGTCCACACAGAAAATGGAAGTGAGGTACAGAAATAGCTGGATCGGTTACAGCTCCATGTTTGTCTTATTTGAAAAGGGTTGACCAGCTGACTGCTCGTAATTGGTTGAAAATCTGTAATTGGCACAAGAGTATGTCACAGTCTGTTTACACAACAAGTTATTTTGCACTTCGCTATGTACAAAAAACCTTTAGGAAGAACTTAAAATATGTAAGAAGGCAGCTTTAGGCTAAACTTAACATTCATGAAGTAAGAATTTTATAATTATTTTTTGCTACAGTTTTGCTATTTCATATTTCATCTCTGAATATATTTTGTTATCGTTTTAATTTAATTCATCTGGGAATCAGCAGTTTTAAAAACATTAACTTTGTTTTTTCCGGAACACAGTTGAATTCATTTCTCAAGTTAAGATGTGTGTTTGAAACTCTGAGTTGTAGTATATCTAACCCAGCAAACCAGCCTTAGTAATTTTAAATGCAGTGATAGAGTTCCTTGCTGTTCCTAAACTCACAGCTGAGTATTTGTTTTTTAATTGTCTTTTTCATTTATTTCTTCATCCTCTTTCGGGGCATTCTTTCACTTTCAGGATTTGTCAACCTCTTGCTTAATTGTTTCAAATTACATTCTAGTAAATGCAGCACAAATCTAACTTAATGGAAGCAAGAAAGCTCTTCATCTTATCTCACCTTTGGGAATGCAATGTCCTGCTGTCTTTCTGGTTTATACCTAACTTCTACAAAGCAGAACAAAGAGAAGAGGGATTAATCAGGGGGGATATCTATAATAGGTAGACCTAGAGGTAGAAAGTAAATATGCAAAGAACGTTTATGTTCATTAGGTAAATTAGTAGTAAGAAAATCGATTTATTAAATTGTATAATCATATGTTTTAGGGGTTTTGTACACAGAGTGTGGCAAAATTATACACAGACCAGTTGTAAAAAATATATAGATGACACTATCTACAGTATCTTTTCAGTGAAAAGATCATTGAGTATCTTTTCACAAATATATGTATTTGTGAATATATATACAAATATAAAAAGACATTTTCATGTCTATTTTTGTCATTTGTTTTGTATTTCCACTAAGCTTTTGAAAGGCTATGTTATTAATTGCAAATACAATCGCTGCCCGTACAAAGAAACTTCGTTAGTTACATGAGTTTGAAACAGCTCCCCTATCCCTTTTAAATTTCCATTTTCTCCTTTTCATACTTGAGCATCCTTCTTAGATAAAGAATATATAGTTTTACTCTTTGCACTTATTAAGATTTAAGAGTGATAGAGTTTTGTATTTCTTATTGTTAAATGAAAAAATGAATAAAAATTTGTTGATATCCAGCCTTAGGAAGTTATAGGGGAATATAAAATTTATTTATACAAACAATATCATACGGATGACATGTTAGCATCATAGACCCTTGATATGAGATATTGGAGGACACATCACTTCTGTTGCATTCTTGCCAAAAACACAAAGTCTTAATGCGACCATCAGTTAAACCCAAGTGAACAGACATTCTACAAAAGAGCAGACCAGTGGTCTTCAAAACACTCTGTTAAGGTCATAGAAAACAATGAAAGACTTTTTTTAAATTTTATTATTATTATACTGTAAGTTTTAAGGTACATGTGCACAACGTGCAGGTTTGTTACATATGTATACATGTGCCACGCTGGTGTGCTGCACCCATTAACTCGTCATTTAGCATTAGGTGTATCTCCTAAAGCTATCCCTCCCCCCTCCCCCCACCCCACAACAGTCCCCAGAGTGTGATGTTCCCCTTCCTGTGTCCATGTGTTCTCATTGTTCAATTCCCACCTATGAGTGAGAACATGCGGTGTTTGGTTTTTTGTTCTTGGAATAGTTTACTGAGAATGATGATTTCCAATTTCATCCATGTCCCTACAAAGGACATGAACTGATCATTTTTTATGGCTGCATAGTATTCCATGGTGTATATGTGCCACATTTTCTTAATCCAGTCTATCATTGTTGGACATTTGGGTTGGTTCCAAGTCTTTGCTATTGTGAATAGTGCCGCAATAAACATACGTGTGCATGTGTCTTTATAGCAGCAAAAAAACACCAAAAAACAAAACAAAAACAAAAACAAAAACCAAACAACAATAACGATCAAATATACCAAAGGAGCAAGAGGAGTTTAGGTTGTGGGTAGTGGCAGAGGCAGAAGAATCTGAGCCATCTCTAGTCTTAAATATCTGTGAGTCTGAGTCCTCTTTGAACTTCTTGGGGCTTTGTAGAAGATGAGAGAGGAGACCCCACATGACAGGAGGCAGGGCAGGGCAACTTGTCATCTTCTTACCCATCTTGGCTTATGCATATTTTGCGTAGTGATTTCTGTTTGGAAATTGATTTACAGCAATTGCAGGTGGCCAAGAGAGCTTGTTTCAAGGCAGGATTTGAAGGGGAAAAGAAAAGACCTTGTCCAAAGCTTTCTCCAAGGCAGGTCATGCTGAGTGAAGGTTCCTTGTTGGAAAAGAAAGGAATTCCCCACGGGGTCCTGTCGTCTCACTCCAGCTGACGGCTCTATTGCAGGTATGGTGCCTCCATGGCTGTCAGTCATTTGAGGGGAACCTCTGACCCCCAAGACCTCCCTGGGTTATTAAGGGAGATGGCATACATGTGTCAGGCTGGTGATGGTGTATGTGACACAGAAACTGTCACAGAGCAAAGATGGCGGAAGCTGAGCACCTGATTCCCCAAAGCAGCCACCAAGTCATGCCTGATGTTAGTGCTCCATTAGAGGGTGTACTGCCTGAGGGTCATATGTGGGGTGTGTGTGTGTGTGTGTGTGTGTGTGTGTGTGTGAGAGAGAGAGAGAGAGAGAGACAGAGAGAGAGAGAGAGTGTGTGTATGTGAGCATGAGGGGCCAAGGGAGAATATCTTAATGGGATTTCTAGTCTTCCTTGTTTATTTCACACACACAATTCTGAATTAACACCTCCATTCATGTACTTGATGTTGCCACTGAATAACTATATAGAAGGATTTGATGTCTGGAACTCCAGCCACTTATTTCTGCTGACTGTAAAACCATAGCAGTTGGTGAGCTGTTCATTTAGCTAGCACTAAAGATGCCCAGATAACACCCCCACCAGATTGTTGCTCATCTATACTTTGTAAATATGCTTCTACATGTGGGTACACACATGTATTAATCTCATTTGTTTCCTAAATATGAAACTGAATTTGGAATAAATCCATCAGGAATATGGGCCTAACAACACATTTAAATAGTCACCAATTGGTGCCAATAGCTCTGTAATAATTTGTTCTCAGTTCAGTTTCCCAAACTGAAGAGCTCTTCCTCAGTCCTTTCTTATCTAGAACCCATAAGTTCAAGAGATTCAGAGAATTTTCTATTAGTGCTGTGATCTTTGCCAGCTGTAGTTTAGTCTACAATTTGATCTATCTGGGGTGTAAGTACTTGTTAATGGGTTTTGAAGCCCAGAATAATAAATAATGCTTAGGAATCTTTTATAACAGGCCTGGAATAGATTTTTAAAGCAAACTGAGGTAGATTTTCAACATGCGTATAAGGTACATATATTCTGTTCTGGCAGAAACCAGAACAGTTCTGGTGGAAAAGTTTCTTTGTTCATTCAATAAATAATTAGATGTGCAAAAAAAAAAAACAATGAAAGACTAAGAAAATATCAGAGTCTGGAGGAGACTAAGGAACTGTGGCAACTAAATGCAATGTGAGATCCTGGATGGGATCTTGGGACTGAAAAAAGACAATGGAGGAAAAAGTAGCGAGATCAGAATAAAGTCTGTAGTTCAGAGAATAGTGTAGTACCCATGTTAAGTGCTTGGTTTCAGTAATTATCTTCATGGTTATAGAGAAGGCTGACATCAGGGAAAGCTAGACAAAGGTATAGGAGAAGTCTCTTTTACGCGTTGTAATACAGGTAATAGTTTCACAACTTATTTATAACTCTAAATTTATAAAATAAAACATTTAAAATATTAAATAAAATGTATTTGAAAGAGAATAAAATAAAATATTTTAAAACTATAGTCGTCCTCCTTCCTGAGAATTCTGTAGGGGCATGCTAGTCCAGTACACATTCATTTTTCCTCTTTATTTTACTCAAATTTGAAGTTTGTGTTTATTTCATATTAATAGACACTAGCATCAAATCCTAACTTAAATTTAAAAGGGAGCTTAAAACCAAGCAATTTAATCTCTTTATAAACCATGACACTCATCTGAAAATAATGCATGTAGATGAGAAAACATTTCATAGTCAGCCCATGCAAGTCTGTGAGTGAGCTGAGACCAGCACTCAGGAACCCTCAGACTCAATGTAGTTCTTTTCCTTACCACTCTGACTCCAGACTCAAGAGTGTTAGTAGCAGCATTTCTGATTTTATGATTTACCATAGGCATTTTTAAATGACAGAGGATGACTTTAAATGATTTAAGACCTACTTCACGCCCATGATCTACTCAGAGCCAGTTTTGTTGTTTTGTTTTGTTTCGTTTTCCATAAATGTGTTCCCTGGGCTTGTGTTGCTAAATGAAATTCAAAACTAGTGATATACAAATAGATTCATCAAAGGCAAACATCATTTCATTTATTAGTGGTCACCGGTGGCTCATAAACAAAGTACAATCTATTGAATAAAACAGATTGCTTTTTTGATTCTATTGATTGTTTCTTTGAATTTTCTGAGGATAATTTAGTAACAAAAGCCTTTCTCCACCATTACTTCTAATATATGTATTTACTCACGTATTTTTCTTTTGCTTACACAGAGAAAATGAAATAATTAAAGCAGTTTTTCAATTTTTCTGCAATTTGTACTTAGATCTTATGAGGGAAACCTGTGGATCAGTTATTTCTTTGCACATACACTGTGCATGTGTGTGTTTTTCTTCTTCAACTTGAAAGGACAGGGCTTTTGTCTCTTCTACAGAATTGAAAGCAAAAACTCAAAGATCCTTAATGCTTCTGGTGTGGATCTGAACCACCAATGACTAAGCTGCTAAGTAGCAAGACTACCCATATGATAGTAGTTTCATATTATATTTAAATAGCCATGTTCTTTTTTTTTTTTTTTTTTGGCAGAGTCTCACTCTGTCGCCCAGGCTGGACTGCAGTGGTGCGATCTTGGCTCACTGCAACCTCCACCTCCCGGGTTCAAGTGATTCTCTTGCCTCAACCTCCTGAGTAGCTGGGACTACAGGTGCACACCACCATGCCTGGCTAATTTTTTGTGTTTTTAGTAGAGACAAGATTTCACCGTGTTAGCCAGATGGTCTCCATCTCCTGACTTCATTATCTGTCCACCTCGGCCTCCCGAAGTGCTAGGATTACAGGTGTGAGCCACCGCTCCCGACCAAATAGCCATGTTCTTTAACATTTAATGTCTTGCTAATGTTAATGGTCATGTCTACAGTCTTGAACTGAAGTTGGAAAGAAGCAGTGGTTATTTATTAGTCATGGCTGTTAACAAAACGTAATGACATAATTCCTTTCCTTGAGCCTTATTGATTAAGTATTATTTTTGCAACTTCTTTGAATCTGTAAGTTTTGAAATCAAAAGACTAGAAACAAAACAAAAAGAGAATGCTCCAAGTCTTGAAATGAACACAATTTGGAAAGGGGTGAATAGCCCTTGGGACATTCAGAGGGTGTATTAATTCGTTTTCATGCTGCTGATAAAGACATACCCAAGACTGGGCAATTTACGAAAGAAAGAGGTTTAATGGACTTACAGTTCCACATGGCTGGGGAGGTCTCACAATCATGGAGGGAGGCAAGGAGGAGCAAGTCACATCTTACAAGGATGACAGCAAGCAAAGAGAAAGAGCTTGTGCAGGAAAACTCCCATTTTTTAAAACCATCAGATTTCATGAGAATCATTCACTATCAGGAGAAGAGTGCAGGAAAGACCCGCCCCATAATTCAATCACCTCCCACCGGGTTTATCCTACAACATATGGGAATTGTGGGAACTGCACTTCAAGATGATATTTGGGTAGGGACACAGCCAAACCATATCAGGAGATATTGGTAGATCCTTCGGCCTCCTCCTGACTACCCCTTGAGCACAGTGTCAGAAATTCCAGTAGCTGCACATGGGCCTCAGGCCAGCAGGTCTTTTCTGAAGAACATGGATACATCAGAGATGTGCCCCAAGGACTCATGTCCTCAAAACACCCAGTTTGTTGATAGATTGGTAGCTGTAATGGTGACCAGGCACAATTCCTTGCCTACATTTTCTGTTAATTTAAAGGGATGCTATTTTTTTGTTTGTTTGTTCTCTTTGTCTTCTTTCTTGGAGAGGCTAACTTTTTTCCCCTCATTTTCAAAAATAATGGGACAACACATGACATTCATCTTACTGGACAATATAATGAACTTCAGGAGATAAATTGTTTGCTGGTCAGGATTTCCAGGATGGCACAAATTCAATTTTATATTTAAATTTGAGAAGAAAAACAATAATTCTCAGTACCCATTACTCAGAAAGCAAGTAAAGTCATCTTACAAACAACTATTAACTCAACAAAGAAAAGCCTGAGAGGTACTCAAATACTTCATAGTTGAAGTGGTGGATAATCCTATAATTGCTACTTCTCAGAAGAGCTCTGCGTGTATGTGGAAAAAAGGCATTATTTAAATCATGGAACATTATCCATCAAAGCTGCTTCTGTCAATGATGTTTAGTTGCTTTAAAACATTTTTTTTAAATAAGATAAGACTTAGGACAGAGATTTCAGCCAAAGCTATGAAGGAAGGAAAGAAAAATAAACCCTCTGTAATTCCAGATTCATTCTTTTCTATCACAAAAAAAGTAGCTTTATGAACAGTGGCTCTTTGTGATGGGTTCTGATGCAAGAGAGACATAACAGGAGGTCACTGTATTGCATCGCCTCTGTCTCTTCATCATTTTATCTGCCTTCTATATGGGCCTCTTTTCATGGATCTGCCTCATGGCTAAAGACAAACACATGAAGTGCAATTTCTATTAATATTATGCCATTCTCCTCCTTAAGATCCCTCTGCACTATATATATATATATATATATATATATATTTAATTTTAAGACTCTTAATATGAAATATAAGCCATTGACTGAATATCTTCTCTAATTTCCCACATTGTTTCCTTCAGACTTGGTGCTCTATTAATCCAAATTTACACTGTTGCTCTTTGAACCCGCCATATTGTTTCCACACTGCTGTGAACTGGGCATGCTTTTCACTCTCTCTGGATTCCATTTCTCCCCCAACACATACATACATTTTTCTACTACCTTTTAATTTGGCTAACATGTCCTGGTGAGCCATCCCTGAACCCTCATGGGTTCTTCGGTGTCCCTAGTGCATTTATATCAAAGCCCTTACACTAAAGAGTAAGAATTACCTGCTGAATCAAAATCAACCCTTGAGGCTGAGGGCCCTTCCAGGGCAAAGACATCTTATCCACATTTTTTAACAACCCAGACACAGCAAACACTTAATAAATGAAATGAATCTTTCCAGTTATAATATCTCCTTTCTTACTCTTTATCAACTCAAAATCAGTCCTTTGAACCCCAGGAATTTTTAGAAATGGAATAATTTTTATTATGTTTATATTCTAGGGTTGCCCCCAAAACTCTTGGGATATTACTTATGTGATCTCTATGATAGTCTTTTAGGCAGTAATTAGATTTAGGAACTAATTTATACAAGGCTTATTGTCACAGCAAACTTTAATTTTTCCATTAAGACTATAGGTTCTTAGCCCATCAGGCATCTCTGGTATTTGTAAAACTCCCAAAGTTGCTTACCAGAATTTTGGGGTAGGTGCATTTTCTGGAAAGAGAGCCAACAGCTTTCTTGAGGTAGTCCAAGTAGTTTGGAAAGAAAACAGGAAAAAGAAGAGTGAAATTACTGAATAGGAATGAAGGGCATATGTTTAGGAAATGCAGGAAGGAAAGGAGAAAGTATGTTTTAAAAGTGTAAAATGATATTGAAAAAAGAAAATGGATAGGGCCACGGACAAATCTTGCTGAATCAAACTTTGTCTAGGGCTAACTTAGATGCAGGATGATGTTAGCCTCTCTTTTGGGGAACACACAATGTCTGAGTATAAATATATTCCTCTTTTTCTCACTAGAGTGAGAAAGACTAATAGAAAAAAGGATATGAAACTTAGAAGCTCAATCTCTTGGCCAATTTTTTTTCTAAGTCACAATATTCATTGGGTATTGATGAAGAGAGAGATACAGGATAGCTGTAACATAACTCACATTTGACCAAAATGATCAATGGGCAAAATTATCTCTAGCAGAAAGATATTTTATTTAAAATGAGCTGAAATTAAAATATAAATAGCTTTGTTTTCCCTGTCAGGCAAAATGCTTACAGTCAGGATAGAGACAAAATTGTGTAGTCTCCCAGTCACGCCACCGTGCTGTCTACAAGCCCTCCGGGTGTGACCGGTGAAGATGCGTTCTCTGGGAATCCTGATCTCAGATCTGATGGATATTTTTGCTGTGGAAGAACCAGTTATAGGATTTCAAGTTCCAGAGAAAAGGTGAGAAGTGAAAAAAATTCAAGATTCATCTTAATTAATCTTTATTAATTACAAAACAAAGTGAATATAAATGAAGGGCAATTTCAACTCACTATTGGAAAAAAGGCAACAGATTTCCAAGATTCCAACTTTAAGAAAGAAAAGCACAACATTTACAAATAAAAGCCAAACCATTTACTCAGCCCCAAAGCTGCATTGCCTGGCTGCTTTGAGGATGTTCACCATGCCTCCTTGTTTGGTTGAATGCACGTCAAAGACTTCTGACCACAGGATTTAATTTACTAGATTCACATATGTGTCAGTCATCCAAGTCAGGAGGATATGTAGAAGTATTTTTAGCAAATACTCCGTCAATTTGTTGTCTTGTCTTGTAGAAGATCAAGAACAGCAGCATGTATTTGTGAACATTCCAATTTTACATGCATTTTTATTACAATATGTTTCATAAAAACCTTGCTGAGTGGTTATATCTTTTTTTTTTTTTTTTTTTTTTTGAGATGACATTTCACTCTTGTTGCCCTGGCACGAATCTCGGCTCACCACAACCTCCGCCTCCCGGGTTCAAGCGATTCTCCTGCCTCAGCCTCTCGAGTAGCTGGGATTACAGGCATGCACCACCACACCTGGCTAATTTTGTATTTTTAGTAGAGATGGAGTTTCTCCATGTTGGTCTAGCTGGTCTCAAACTCCCAACCTCAGGTGATCTGCCCTCCTTGGGAGTGGTTATATCTCGTTAGTGATGGTCTTTCATCTCAAATCCCTGGAGGGTTATTTATTCTGGGACAGAGCATGTAGGCACCCCTGGGTACTATTTAGGAGAAATGACTACATGATCATCTACTCCCACGTCAGTTCAAGTTAAAATATTTTATGGCACTGTCAAAATTTGGTCAATAGCAAATAACTTATTGTCATAGTCTATTGCAATAACAAGTAAGCATTTGTCAATAACAATGCAAAGAATAGGTTATCCTTTCTGAGTTTCTGTGTGGGTGAAGCTAAATCAAATGTCTACAAAGAGAAGAAGAGAAGAGGATATTCTAGGATTAAATCTAGTTATGGCAGGCATTTGATATCTCCGTCAATGGGAAGATTCATGCTTTTAAATAACAGAGAAAGAGAGCTTTGAGGAACGAAGAAAATTAAGTATCTGAGTGAAGATTTTCTCAAATAGGGCATGGGAGATTTTTAAGAATCCTCAAGTAGGGAATGTATTTGAAATATCTTACTGAATAATTTAATATTTATTCTACACATAGAAGCTTCATACTGAGGTTATCTTTACAGTGTTAATTTTTATGAAAACTGTAACATTTTTGCATTCCTAATTGTTAGGGATAAAGAAGCATTTTGCAAAGGCTCAGAAGCTCTAAGTTTGCTCTCCATGCATGTTGTTGCTGCTTTGATCTCCTCACCTTGTGATGGTCCAGAAAGAAAACTTTTGCACCTCAGCCACAGCAGGACTGTGAGAAACCGATAGGATATTTACATGCTCCTTGCCTCTAAATGTCAAATGCATTAGGCAGTACTAGCTTCTGAGACTCAACAAAGCACCCCAAGGCACTAATGCCCTGAAACATGATCAGATCATAAAGTCAGAGAGTTAGAATGACATTTGGGACCATCTAATCCCACACATCTTCCTAAAATAAAACGCTTCACGTAGACCCCTGTGCTCACACAGCACACAGCCTCCAGGAGTGGTACTGTCTTCTCTCTGGGGAAGATGGTCTCATTAGAATCCCTAATGCAACACTTAGCCAATGTGCTAAGTGTTGGAAAGATCTTTCTCTCGGTGCTGGTTCTGAGCGTAATTACATCTATCTACTGTTCTCCTTTGCAGCCCTTCAAGAAAGCTATGACCTTTTCCTGAAATTTCCTTCTAGTTCTCTTTGTAATGGCTCTTTATTTAGTGTGGTTTCCAGTCACTTTCTCATCTTGCTGACCCTTCTCTGAACATGATTCTGTTTTTTTCTGGTACCTCTTTACATCTGGAGCCTCAGCTCCCAAATGAATTTTGACCTTTGACTTCCAAATGAATTTTGACCTTTGATAGCTAAGGGCCATTACCTTTATTTAGCCAAGCATTGTAATTATCTTAGTACAACATAAATTTGCCTTATCTTATGATTAGTTGTAAATGGCGTAGGCTTATGGGGTGCTGGCAATGTGGATCTAGAAAGAGTGAGCCAGCTCTCTATTTTTTTAAACAAAGACTGGAACGTAGGGCATGTCGTCAGCACAGGAGCTCTCGAATATAGACATTGGCACAAACTCCATTAGGAGGAGCAGAGCTCATGGGTAAACTTGAACCTGGGAATAATGCAGAGCTATTGTAGAAAAAAATGGAGCACAGCCTCGAGTCTAGCTGGCAAAAATCTTCATTGATTAAGTATATGATACTATTCACAACGACAATCAATTGCCATTCTTTTACTCTGTGCTAAGAGTTTACAAACTTGTTTGGAATCCTATCCTATAACGGATCTAAAAGGTAGCTATTATTAGCTTTCTTTTCCAAATAACAAAAGTGGAGCTCAGTGTAGCTAAGCACATAGACCAAGTCATAGTTAGGTGATGGTGAAGCTGGAACACAGGGGGGATGACCTGACTACAGGGTACATGCTGATAACTGAAGTGCACCAAGCCTGTTACATATGACTTCCTCACCTTGGGATTAATCCAGTGAGCTGGAGGCATCCCTGAGTATGAAAATAGAGCTCAGTGGCCCCAAGGTGGTTACAAGGATAGATTATAAAGGGTTGGGACTGGTGGACCCTAAAATTTACCACTGACCTGGAAGATAGTTTACTATCATACTAGTCAGGGTGAGATTACTGGATGGAGAGGATGACACCAGGGCCCTGGAACAAGAAAAGCTATCGTATCACCCTTTGCTCCCAATCTGCCAACAACTTAGAATGTTGGTTTCAGTAAAGAAGGTTAGGTTAGCATCAAACATAAATTGGAAAATAAAATTATGTCAAAGGAAAGTCTCTACCCACACAAAAGGAATAAAAAATACAAAGACTTTTTAAAAAATATAATTGCTGCTGGGCGCAGTGGCTCATGCCTGTAATTCCAGCACTTTGGGAGGCTGAGGCGGGCGGATCACGAGGTCAGGAGATCGAGACCATCCTGGCTAACACAGTGAAACCCCGTCTCTACTAAAAAAATACAAAAAATTAAATAGCCCGGCATGGTGGCAGATGCCTGTAGTCCCAGCTATTTGGGAGGCTGAGGCAGGATAATGGCATGAACCCAGGAGGCGGAGCTTGCAGCGAGCCGAGATTGCGCCACTGCACTCCAGCCTGGGCAACAGAGCAAGACTCCATCTCAAAAAATATATATATATATGTGTGTGTGTGTGTGTGTGCGTGTGTGTGTGTGTGTGTGTGTATGTGTGTATATATATGTGTGTATATATATGTGTGTATATATGTATGTATATGTGTATATATGTGTGTGTATATATATGTGTGTGTATATATGTGTATATATGTATATAATTGCTGAAACGTGACAACTCACCAGCCACTTTTTAAGCATATCCATTAGAATTATTATTACTATTATTCAAGCCAGCAGTTATTATGTGTCTCCTGTTGTTCTAAGTGCTTTTCACATATTAATTTATTTAGTGCTTGTAATAACTCAATGAAGTGATTGCCATTATTATCTTCATGTAAAATATGGGTACACTGAGGCACAGGCAGGTGAAGCAGCTTGTCAGATAGTGAGTCACAAGCTGGCACTTGGATCCAGGTGTCTTTAGAACCTCCTTTTTTATTCATCCTTCCATTATGGACTCTCCTCTATTCTGCGTGGTAATGCTATTCAATCTCCTGAGAGATATTCCTTTGGGAAAATGCTTCTGTGAGACACCAAGATAGGCCACCACTAAACTCTGGAGCTGAGCCCCACCCTGTCACCATATTCGTAGATATTTGAGTCCCTGGGTTCAATGTCGGAAGTGTGTCTAAGTATATGCCCTTTGGTTGGTTTGAGCCAGGCTGTTAATTATTCCTACAGGGATAGAAAAACCTTGGTTTGGGGCTTGTTGTTATAAATCCCTAATGCAACATGTTATTTCCACTATTTAATAATATTTTAGTAAAAATAATTTTTTAACTCATTTTTTCTAGTCTTTTCTTCATGAAAAAAACAACCGATGCCTAAATGGTCTTGCATATCCCTCAGAGAAGTCTAATCTATGGTAGTCACCAATGTTACAGATTTAAAAATTTTTATTGGCTTGGCTTCAATTTCCATTAAGAAAAACAAAAATTCCCCTGAAGTAATTTATCCACTTATTTGGATGAATTATTTCAGGGGAAGTTTTTCTTTTTACATTTTTTATTATGTAAAGATTATTTTAAAGAATTATTCTGGTGACATAATAATAATATTTCAGAGGAAAACAGCAGGTAACTAGTTTTGACGTTGGCCCCTTCACTATTTTCTTTCCTCCTTGTCTCTGCCTGGGCCTATGTTTATTGAACTCCACAGAATGCCAAGACAGCATTTGTAAAGGGGGATTTATTTAACTCTGGGTGAGTTGTACAAATGCAATAATGTGGCCCAACTCTTGTTTAATTTTGAAGGCTCTCTCCTAGACAACATCGCTCATAATGGACGGTTCAAGCCAAATTATCCATTATTGTTCCCAAAGTTTACAATTAAACTATCGATCAAAACTGGCAGTGATTTCTCCAGCAGCCTGAGCTTAGAAGCAGCTGAATTACATCAGAACACGAGTGTGTGGAGCCAGAAGGTGACACAGACAGACAGATACCAGACAGACAGTGGCACCTTCTACCAACCACCCTGGGATCCAGCCTTTGGTAATTTTCCTTGAGCCGAGAAGCAGGCTGCCACCCCAGCTATGTAGAGTGGGTTTGCGGTTTTAATAGCCAGAGGTGCCCGCAATTTGCGACCTCTATCCCTGGCTGTAAAAATTGGAGTTTAACAGGTTCGGCTCCATGGGGAACCAACCTCAGCTTTTAGGCTCCTTCAGACACTGCAGAATGCATCTTTTCTGGGGAATTCCACAATAAAATGACTGTTATTTATCATTACAAACCTCTTTATCATTTAGTCAATAAAAGGCCTCTCTCTCTCTCACTTTTTTTCCTGTGGCGTGCTCAGTCAGAAATCGGTATTAGTCTCTCCTGGCCTGAAGGCAGGAGATGTCAAAAGCTAAATCATGATCTACCCTGGCTTCCTGGCTAAATTGTGTATGAAGGCCTGAGGCAAAAAGGTACACATGCTCATTATTTGAAACTGAGATTTTCCCCCCCTCTTTTAGTTTTTCTTTCTTTTTCTCTTTCTTCTTTTTACATATTGAGACATATAATACATACGTGGCTCAGAAGACATCTGATGTAAAACACGAGAAGAGCTTGACATGTCCCCTTCATATATTTTCTGATCAAGAAATAAAAAGTGAATTGTAATCTGAAAAAAAAGGACAGTGGACTTCACCTCTTGAACTTTTTGCTCACGGTGAAAAAAAGAATGTTGCTTATGACTGGGTGTCAGTAACAGATTCCTTCCAAAAGGAGTGCCAACCTCAAGAAAGGCAGATCTTTAGTTGAGCATAAATAGTGTTATTTTTTACTTGCACAGAGTAAGAGGAATCCATTCCTTTAGATCTGCAAATAAGGTTTGCCTTGGAATTCCCTCACTTCATACAGCACTTCTGTGGTAGCTGCGTGGTGGGGGGTGTCAGTCCCAAAAGGTCAGTAGGAATGCCGAGGTAACAATGTCTTTGGACATAACGTATTTGGAGTGGTTCCTGCAAAGCCAGCTATCCTGATTATGGTCTGAAGCATCACGTTTCAACCAAAAGTAAAATTTGGTGGTTTTAGATGTCCTTTTCATTAAATTGTCATGTGTATGCCCTCTCTCCTGATTTTTACACATGACAAACCACTCTTTGGGGACACGGGTTTGTTCATTACTTTATTGTGTTTTGCAGTCAAGGCAGAGTCTGAGCTTATTCTAGGTGCCAGATACCATGCCACCCAAGGGGACAGACCTTGTGAATAAGTAAGGATTATCAAGCATGATGAGGTTTGTCAGGAAAAGCTTTTAATGACCCTAATTACAGAGACACATGTCCAATTGTTTCATTTCTAATGGGTCAATCTACAAAATAAGTAATAAAATTTCAGGGGACCTCTGTTGTTAAAACCTTGATATTTTCTCCCTGAATATCTTATTCCTGGAGGAGGTAACATTCAGAAGCATAGAAACCTATATTTTTAGAGCTAAAAATAGAGAATATCTTGTTCCATACTGCTACTTAGAAATTAAGGCTTAAAGAAAGAAAACTAACACAAAGCAACAACAACAACAAAACTGTCTGAACATTTAACAATTTTAGGAACTGAAACTTGGATTCCTGTCCGTACATCAATCTCCTTTCTATATGATATGTTCAGTCTTATCCTTTTTTGTATAGCCTTTACCAAAGATACATTCAAGGATTGCTTGGCAATGACGAGAAGACAGAGCAAGAAATTGCCTTAATGGTATCAGAGACTACTCATTGTCATCATTTGCTCACCTGTGTTCTTCTTAAAGATGAACAAAAATTACACAGGTCTTGGATGCATTAGCTGGGAAGTTCACTTTGGCTATAGAGCTAAATACATATTTATTTACATATTTAGATCTCGCTGTATGTATATATGTCTAAGTATATATATGTGTATATCTCACTAAGTATAGTGAGATATATATAGAGAGAGATCTCACTATATATATACAGTGTTATCTAAATATATAAATAAATATGTGTTTATTTATTATGTATATATTTAAGTATGTAAATATATATATGTGCATACACACACAACTGTGCACACAGACGCACACTTTTTGTCTTTGCTATTGGTCAGGGCCCTGAAATGTTGATGCTTACTTATTATCCCTTACATAACATGGACAAATGAAAAGCATTTGCTTTTTTCCTGGCCTTCTGATTTTATTTGACTGGCTTGCAAGCTGCCCTTCCAAGTAATCTCCAGAGTGGATCAATGGTACATAATTCTGATCTGCAAGGCAGAGGAGCCAATCTCCAAAAAAACTTAATCATAGGTGTGGCCCTATTAATCTTCAAGGTTAATACAAACAAATCTTGGTGGGGAAAACAGATCATGTTGTATGAACCTGTGTGTGTGTGAAGAACTCCATTATGATGTGAAATTATCTCAAGTACAACAACTGTCTCCCAGTTCTAACCAGGTCACAGTACTGCCCAAAGGAAGGCAGTTTACACTCTTCCAGTTACTAATCTATTTACATTCAAAATAACCTGGTATATTTTCAACATTTACAAAATAGATAGCTTTTAGACTGACAGTGCGGCAATTGCTCAAGGATCTAGAACTAGAAATACCATTTGACCCAGCCATCCCATTACTGGGGATATACCCAAAGGATTATAAATCATGCTGCTATAAAGACACATGCACACATATGTTTATTGTGGCACTATTCACAATAGCAAAGACTTGGAACCAACCCAAATGTCCATCAATGATAGACTGGATTAAGAAAATGTGGCACATATACACCATGGAATACTATGCAGCCATGAAAAAGGATGAGTTCATGTCCTTTGTAGGGACATGGATGAAGCTGGAAATCATCATTCTCAGCAAACTATCGCAAGGACAAAAAACCAAACACCGCATATTCTCACTCATAGGTGGGAATTGAACAATGAGAACACTTGGACACAGGAAGGGGAACATCACACACAGGGGCCTGTTGTGGGGTTGGGGAAGGGGGGAGGGATAGCATTAGGAGATATACCTAATGTAAATGACAAGTTAATGGGTACAGCACACCAACATGGCACATGTATACATATGTAACAAACCTGCACGTTGTGCACATGTACCCTAGAACTTAAAGTATAATTTAAAAAATGAAACCATATATTCTTATCTCAAAGTGAAATTTTATGACAGGTTATAAACCACTTAAAAATGAGATCGTTTGGGATAAGGATACAAATCGGGGGTCTAGTAGCCCCGTGGTAGCTTGACAATAAAAAAATCAGATTTGTATATTCTTTACTTCTGAGCTGATATTTAAAGCAAATCTTACCTTTAAAGAGTGCAGGATTTAAAAAAATTTTTTTAAAAAGGTATTTGCATTATTCTCATATTTCTTTCCTTTTTCTTTTGTTCTTTGCTATTTTAAACAAGACCCTAACTTAAATCTTCCAGCTCTAACTTGCAAACTACAAGCCTCCAAGCTCTAAGTTGTTTAGAAATTATTCATATTATTTCCCAAACTTTATGACTATGCCTCTTTTCTCATTTAATTTTAAGTCCACATCTCCTAGAAATACCACAGGCGTGGGATCCTAGCTCTGCCATATAACCTATAAAGAAAAGAACTGTAAGAGTGTTGATGAATTTAAATGCATCTCACATCAATCTTAAGTGTTTATTTCTTCCTCAAATTCAACATTGGTTTCCATGGCCTCAGGTGGCTTGGTGCTTACACACGCGTGGTCCTGTTTCCTAATGAAGTGGGCAAATACCTACCTCAGAGTGTCAAACTGGATAGTGGCCCTTGAGCACCTTCCTTAATATTGATGAGGCTCTTGGTGAACAGTAGTAAATGCAGCACGTGGGTATATGTAGTGTAGAATGACTGTCTCTGTGCCATGCATGGGTGTGGGGTGTCCTTTGACGTGATTTTGGTACCCAGCTCTGTCTCACAGCCACGTGAGAGTGCTCACTTCCCTTGGAGAGTGTGAGCTCTTTGAAAGAGGGAGGTTCAATAAGTGCTTTTCAGATTAAATCAAGTTTGACATCTTGCTGTGCAGGAGTGGACTATTCAGACTGATGGCACACTCAAGGGTGCTATTTTGAATACTTTATGTTCATACGTTTTTCTATTCTGATATTTTACTTCATAAAACTGTGGATGGACCATACTCTTGAGATTGATTAATGTGGATTGTTCATGCTTAAGTTCCCAAAGATGGTTACATATCTTACATATTATTTATATCCCCAGCATCATTTTAAGTTCTTATTTTGGCTAGATAGATTTTACATGAGATACATGTAAAATATGCACGTATGTTTTCTTTAAAGCTCTCTTTATGATCAATGCAAGTCACTCAGTCTGGAAATTCTCTTAGAATGAAACATTTGTACTCTCTGGTTGATGCTATTGTTGTTCACAATCATCACTACCTCTTCCAGTAAAAGGACATGTACCCATGTGGGTATGTAGCATGTGACTTTCTTTGTCACATGACTTACCATATGACTTTCTATGCCTCCTATAGGTTTCTGAAGTTGGGCTTGGTCATGTGACTTGCTGTGCTGTCTACAAGTGAGCTGGTGGTCACAAGTCTGGTAGAAACCTGATAAGCCTTTGTGTGTTTTTTTTTTTTCCCAACTCTCTTGCTCCTTCTCTCTGCCATGAGAACAACATGTCCCAAACAAAGACTGTTCCTTCAACCAGAATGTTAAGTCACATAGACAAGGACCACAAAAACCTCAGCTTCCAGCATTTGACAAGGCTAAGAAATAAACAGTTGTTAAAGGCCACTAAAGTTTTAAGGTTATTTTTCTTGTAGCACAGATGACTAATATGCTATTAACATTTATTTTTGAAAAGAATAATTAGATTTTTCGGTACATAGAGATACAAAGAAGAAAAAAATAAACAGAAGACTCATTATACCCCAACACAGATGACCTTTGTTAATGTGTATATACAGTTTAGAAAATTCAAGCTAAACAGAAAAAGAGTGTGTTTTCAATTTTCAACTTAATTATGATATGGTAATGTGTTCCCTTTAAAATTGTCTTTCTTTAAATATCTTATGTGGCAGTTATATATCATTAGAAAATATTCTTCTGTGTTTTCATATATAGTATACCTGACTTTCCTGTGGGCAACTAAAATTTGAAAGAGATAAATGATGACAAATGAATATTTTATTTGTATTTATTATTTACTTTTCAAAACCAAGTATGTATACTGTCTATGTTCATAATATCTATATTAGGAATACACATTTCTCTACAAAAAAGTTGAGGCATTACTTTGATATTGTTTTGATTTATTTCCTAGGAAGTAAAATAAATTTCCGTTCCACCATACAGAAAATGTCTTTCTTTGCTTTTGTGTTTTGTTTTGGCAAATAGTCATTTGAGAATTTGGAATTGGCCTGACATTTTATTCCAAAAGATGGATATCTTCAGAGAAATTTCGGTACAATTCCAAACCTAACTCTTACATACACATTTTTGGGATAGATTCGCAAAGTAGTGCCAACAAAAAGTCTTTCCTTTTATTGCTCTATTCTTTGATTTTTTTCCACTGTTTATATCTTGCTTGACAAAGGATATTTAATTAGTGAGAGTCCATTTCATTTTATGCATTCATGCATGCAAGGTATTATATTCATATCTCTTTTGCCTTAGAACAGTTGAGAAGAAGCCAGTGTGGGTGTTGATGAACAGGAATGGTTAAACACTTTCTGAAAACTGGAGAGTGTGCATTTCAAAGTTGGACCTGGTTTTCAAGCATTCTACATTTGAGATACCTATTTCATATATATATCATATATATAAATATGATATATATATAAAATATGATATATATAAAATATATGTATGTGTATGTACATGAATATGCATACATTAATGTTTAATATGTATACATTATATATTATAATGTATATGTGAATTACACAAACATACATGAATGTTTATGTATGTAAACATACATAGACATGTTTATTGAGCAGCTGCTACATAAGGCACGCTTTAGAGCCTAGTGTGCTTTTTATATCTATAATAAATATAAATGGGGAGACCTTGAAAAGTAAAATGTAAATATAAATGAAGAGAGCTTGAAAAGTAAAAATACATATCCTATTTTCTTGGGCTATGATCATTTCAGATCTTGCACTCATTTCAACCTTCATCACAACTGACAGAAGATGCTTCCTAGGTGGATTATTGTACTTTCAAGGCACTTGGTATATTTTTCATTGATTATGTCCAGTTTTGTATATATGTATTATCACTTCAAATTCATTAAAATATTTTTTGCTGGGTGTGGTGGCTCACCCCTGTAATCCCAGCACTTTGGGAGGCTGAGGCTGGCAGAACACGAGGTCAGGAGATCGAGACCATCCTGGCTAACAAGGTGAAACCCCGTCTCTACTAAAAATACAAAAAAAATTAGCCGGCCATGGTGGCGGATGCCTGTAGTCCCAGTTTCTCGGCAGGCTGAGGCAGGAGAATGTTCTGAACCCAGGAGGTGGAGCTTGCAGTGAGCTGAGATCACACCACTGCACTCCAGCCTGGGTAACAGAGTGAGACTCTGTCTCAAAAAAAAAAAAAAAAAAAAAAATATATATATATATATATATATACACACACACACACAGACACACATATATATATTTATAATAATTTGTATATATATGTATATATATATATGTACATTTTTTAAGGAAAAGAGCTATGTCTTATTCATCTATATGTGTACATTACTTAGCACAGTTCTTGGCTTCTGGTGGGGTTCAATTAATAATACCTGAAAATTATGACATTGTGGTATATTGTTATTACATCTAGGCCAATCAGCAGTACAAAGAAACCCCTTCAGAGGGGCCAACAGTCTTACACTGAAAATATTTGAAGATATTCAAAAATGCTTTTAAAATTTGAGGATAAAAGGATTGGATTTATTCTATGTTATTTTGGAGAGTAGAACAAAAAACAGAGATTTCAGTCCAGTATAAAAAATGTTTTCTAATACACAGGCTTTCCAAATTGCTCTTCACTGGGCATGCCAGAGCAAAGATATCAGAAAGTGGATTCCTGTATTGTGTGGCAAGTTACATACTAAATGGATTCTTGTTCTAAATCCCTTTTATAGTTTTCTCTAACTATTTTGAGTGGTTCTTTTCTATCTCAATAGATTATATATTTATTGAGTCTAGGGATCATATTTTACATCTTTTAGTGTTGCTAGGCTCTAAACTGTGCCTTATGTAGCAGCTGCTCAATAAATACTTGTGGAATATAACAATGGGAGGCTACTCAGAGGTAAGGCAACATTAGGAATTATGCACAGCTCACTTTTTATAGGACTGGGAAGAGTTGGCCATCAGACGGAACAAACATATGGTAGTTTATTTTAAAGGGGAAGGCCACAAGAGGTGGCCAGAAGTAGGGATGCAGATTTAGAGAGGAGAAGATGATGGGTTTGATTTTGAACTTATTGAAATTGCTTTGCCAAGAGAAGACAGACAGTAGACAGTTGTGTAAGTGGTCTGGTACTTAGGAAGGAACTCTGAGTTGAAATCTACAATTTGGTAGACTTGGCTTCCAATTTTGGCTCCAATGCTGACAACTCTGTCTTTAGAGAAGGTATTTAACTACTTCAGGTCTCAATCCTTATCTGTAAAGGGGTAATAAACAATTTTGCTTAATTTTTACAGTTGCTATGGAGATATTCTCATAATGCCTAACAAATAGTAATTATCATTTAATGGGTTTAACCATTGTAATAATTTTTATTATTAGTTTTTATTCTAGTGAAATTCATTTCAGTAAGATGAATGCTGAGGTCATATTTTGATAGTTGAAGATTGTTGGCTAGTCCTTCTAAAATACTGAGAAATAGATAAGATTACAATTAGATGCAAGGAAAGAAAAAAATGTGTATATAAGAGTAATGAACATTGTTTTAATGCTGAGGAGAAAGAGCCAGGAGAGGGGGAAAAGTTGAAAATAAGAAGGAATTAAGGGATCAGTGTCTACTGAATGAAGGAATAAGTGAATGAGGGGACAGGTACCTAAGTACATCTGGAGGGATGGGTTCTGACTAGGAGAAGAGGTGCCATTCTTTGGAGATGTGTGGGGGTTAAGAGTTGGGGCATAAGGAGTAAGGAGATAAAGATACTTATAATGCATTTAATAATTGAAAATAAACTAATTATCAGAATACCAAATTCAGAAAATATTTATTAATTTATATAGAGAATTCTGCACTCTTTATTTTTGAAGAGACTTTATCACACGTGATTCCATGAATAACATTAGAGGTAAGGGTAGAGCAGTTGATATTGAAAACGACCCAATAGTCCCATACATAGTTTTTTGATAAGCATAGATATTGACCCTTCTGGTCTTAAAGCTTGAACCTTATATTTGCAGACCTTCAGGCTTCTCAAAGTATCAAAGTGTCAAAGAAATGAAATTCACCAGGTCACCACATCCAGCCAATGAGATGCTGGACCCCTCATTCACCATAATTGATTCCTTGCTCCTCCCTAGTTTCTATTTTGTTACACATTGTTACATGTCTTCCTTGCTATATACAACCCTAGATCTTGTCTTGGAGTGAGTGAGTGGACCTGGATTTGAGACTGAGCTCCCATCTCCTCAACTGTGGCACAAGATGAAAGCTTTCTTCCTTGGCAATACTGACATCTCAGTCATTGGCTTTCCGTGCAGCAAGCAACAGAATCTAGACTGAACCTCTGGTGTTTGAGTAACAATATTATGCCCTTCAATCAGTGAAGAATCTGAGACCAAGAGAAATAATGCAACCTACCCCAGATGATGTGGGTCATAATAGTCCTGCAACTTTATGCAAATCTGACCCATTTCTGTAGTAGGAGCCTGTCTTTTTGATTCCATTATCTGAGGGGTTCAGACCTCACTTGAGAACCTTACTTCCCACCTCTGATATCTAGGTTTGGCAGCTGAACTTTGCCTCCGCACAACCAAACACTGATTTCCTCCATGGCATTTTCCTAACTAGCACCCGAATCGCAACTCTCTTGTGTGTCTGGTGTAGTAGCCTCGGATTCAACCCCATAGAACCTAAACCAAGATCAGTCACATGGCTAGAACCTGGTGGGGTGCCTAAGTCTTTTGCTGTGTGGTAGTCAGTATGGTTTTATTTCACAGCTCACTGAATTAGGAGCTAGGTCTCCTAAGCCCACTGGGAGCTGAAACATATATAATACATATATATATATATATATATATATATATATATATATATATATATATATATATTAGTACTAGCCAGTTTTAGGAGGACAAATACCAGTGAAAAACTTTGCAATTTGAAATTTCTACAATTTGGATTGGCCTTGCCTCCTTCTGCCTAGAGAGTAATCCAAATGATTAGCGGATAATTCATCTGTCTCTTCTCATTTCGAAAGGTAAATACTCTTATCTTGCTTGAATAGCGAGACTGCTTTTATTTTAACTTCTTGCTGACATCATCGCCTCTACTCTTTGACAAGTTTGGATTTGTTTAAACTATGCATTGCTCTATAAAGTGCTTGAATGAGCATTGGTCTGGAAGACTTGTGCAACACTTCTAAACCAACTTTCATGCCCCAGTGTCCAAAATGGTATTTAAATTCCGTCCTTCCTATCCTCTGTGTGCCTAGGGACACTCTGTTAAATCAAGTAGTATTGAAATTGTAACACATTTAGATACCATTTGTCTTTAGCAATGATAATCTTATAACAAAAACTACAAAACTATGAAACTATGACATTATAAAGTTGCAAAAATTTGATACCCAATTTAGAATAGGAAGTTTTCTCATGCTTGCAGGTGATGCCTGGGTGTTATTATACTTAATTTCTATTGTAATTGTTTTCTTATACTTCAGATGTGACTTTGGCTAACGAGTTCCCAATTACACCAGCCATCCGGGATTATAGTTATTGTAGTAAAACCTGAAAAAATAACTTCCATTAAATGTTTGAATGTATTGTTAAAATAAGAATTTATTGCTTAATTCACTGTCTGTTTAGATTAGGATTTGTGTTACAGATTTGATTGTGATCCAAATGTTCTTTATTCTTCCATAGCTAACGTCACCTCTTGTTCCCTTCCCAGAAAAGAGGGAACAAACATAATTATATTGTTGGGTACATTTCATTATTTGACCAAATTTGTTTTTTATAGAGTCCATCAATTTTTTTCTGATTACAAAAGTATTTTGTAGATTGTAGAAAATATTAAACACAACTAATAATCCCACTTCTCAAAAATAACATTTTTACTTACATACCTGCTGATAAATATGACAAAGTTTTCTTCTGTAAAATTTATCCTTGAGTTAGTTAAGTTTCATCTTTCTATACATCACTTTCAGTGATGACACAGCATTTTATCAACATATGATCTTTAATTCACTGAGTGAATTTATTATTGGTAACCATTTATAAAAATTTAATTTCTTTGTAATAACTCTATGGTGAGCATCCTAGAACATAAATATCCTTGTACATATCTGATTAAATTCCTACAAATATAGGGATGCTGTTTATCATGTCATGGTTAAGATTTGGGACTTCAGAGTTAGGTAGACTTTGCCTAAATAGCAAGTCTATCAAAAAACTCTGACAACATACGACATCATGGAAAACCTACACAACCTCAACTTCTCTGAGTTTTGGTTTCATCATCTGTAAGATAGATGTAAAATAGATTATAACTAAGAGGATAATTGAGAGGATAAATGAGGTATATTTAGATGTTTATATGCATGTTTCATGGTCACTAGTTTTCATGTATTTTTTAAATTGTATTCCAACTAAAATCTCAATGGATATTCACAGTGAATCTATGAGGTAATACAGCTAAGGTTGCTATATGGTTATTTAATAATCTTTATTTTAAAAATAGGAACTTTAAATTCTATGATCGGTATGTCATCTCACATCTATCACTTCATAAATCAAAGACTCCTTCTTAGAGTTATCCTCTTGATGAATTATACCATTTTCTTGTTTTACTCCGTATTTGTGAGTCTCTGGTCACACGGCTCTTGGGTGAAGTTGCTAAATTCAGCAGGTAAAAATACAGACTGCCTAATTAAATTTGAATTTCAGCTACACAGCAAATTTTTTTAAGCATAAGTATATCTAATAGAATATTTGAGACTTTTTTTTATATGAAAACTACTTGGTTTTAGTATGAAATTCAAATTTGATGGGACTCCTTTTTTAAAAATCTGGCAACCCTACTCTTGGGATTTCTTACTTTTACAACTGCAGCTAGACACCAGCTAGAAAGCAGCCCTAGAACTGTGCAAGACCATGGTGTGCCATTGGATAGCAGTTCCAGAGCCTTGCAGAGGCTGGCAGGCCACCTCAGTTCTTACCTCTATTCCATTTCATAAATCTGATGCAAATTCCCTCTCCTGAGCCTTAATTTCCATATATATATATATATATATATATATATATATATATATATATGTATATAAAATTTGGTGGTGTGAACTAGATGGCATCTACTTGTCTTTTTTGATCTAAAACTCTCCTCTCTCTTTTCCTCATTATTCTCTACATTGTCCAATATCTTTTCTGATGAACTTTCTGAACCTATCTTCAAACGGCAAACATTTTAAAAGGAATAGTCAATTAAAAAAAAAACCTGCACGTTGTGCACATGTACCCTAAAACTTAAAGTATAATAATACAAAAATAAATATATAAAAATAAAAATTGAGTGGAAGTGAAAAAAAATATTTCTCTATCTCTACTTTTACTTCTATATCTATCTATAACATGCAAAATAGTATAATAAAAGAAAAAAACCCACCAAGTCCCCCTTCTCTGGGAATGAGAGAGCGAGGCATTTTAAAGGAGTATGTGGTCGGGTTTCATCAGTGCTTTCCCAGCATGATTCAGTAAGTGAAATATGCAGAACTGCATCACTCTTTTAGTGTTCACATCTTTCCCTAGCATATCAAGACTTTCCTAGTCCTGCCTTAAAACTATAGCTCCCATAATATCTCAATACATGCTCCCACAGTATATTTCCTGTATGCGGGTTGAGTTCTCCCAGAATACAGGCAAGAGGTTGCCTAGGAGTGCAGAAATCATGTCAATACTGCTGCATTTGCACATTTCTTAAACCTGTGCTCCACTATCTGAGCCCATGAATCAATTTAAGGATGAATCCTCCTGCTGTTTTTATCAGTTACTCCTTTGTTCCTGTTGTCATGCCATAAGTATTTTGCTTTGGAACTAGAAATTCTTGCTTCCACCTTGTAAACTTTTCTCCTTCTGTCTAGGACAAAGTGGTAATCTCATAAACAATCAAGAGAAGACAGGATTAAAAGGATTGGTTTTGTGTAATTGAAGTTGAATGACTGAATTCCCTCACTTTTTAGGCAATTTTGATTTGCTAACCAAAAAAAAAAAGCCTTATATTCTGAAAGACCAAAGGAATGTGTTAAATTGATAAAATAATGAGAGTTATAAACTCTTTAAAGGTAACAAATAACAAAACAAGATGCATCAATTTATAAGTTTTAACACCATTTATTTTTTCTGATTCTATATTTCAGACATGCACGTTCAAAAATGAATACGAATACTAACTGATAAATTTAGAAAAGTGGTGAAATTAGAAAGTTACCATTTGACAATGATTATAAAGATTCTTGGTTCAGACCAGGAAATGTCCAATAGGTACTAAAACTAATTGGTTAATTTTGATGAGAAGCAGGAAATTTATTTACCAAAATATTTCTCCACAAAACACTACAACTTTACACTAGAGAAACCTAGCAGACACCTCCTTAACCAGATAATTCCATTTGAACTCACCAGGAATGGAGCAAATGTACATGATGTGACTCTTGATATAATGCACTGAGAAGGATACAGTATCACTTCTATGGTATTCCTGTCAAACATGCATGATCTGAGTTTAATCAAGAGTAAACATCATACAAATCCCATGTGAGAACATTATGCAAAATAATTGGCCAGTAGTGTTCAAAAATGTTAAGTGGCACGAGACAATGTCTGAGGAACTGTTCTAGGTTAAAGGAGACTAGATGTGACAACTAAATGCAACATGTCATTCTGGATTGGCTCTCACATCACATTTTTTGTTTTGTTTTGTTGCTTTGTTTTCTCTAAAGCATGTTAGTGGGATAATTAATAAAATTTGAATAAGATCTATAGATTAGATGATAGTATTGTGGCAATGTTAATTTCCTGATTTTGATAATTATACTCTGGTTACGCAGAAAGAATGTTATTGTTTTAATGTGTGTGTGTGTGTGTGTGTGTTTGTATAGAAATATGGAAATACACACTGAAGTGTTTGGGTGTAAAGGAGTGAAAAGTGTAAAATACAGAAAAGTATATTTAAAAAGAACAACTCTAATCCACTTTTTAGAAAAAAGTATGAACATTCTCATTTTAAAAATATTTTCTATGGATAAATAATTTAAACATGATTTTGGATTCTCTTGCTCAAACATGTTTTACTGGAATGTAAGATATTCTCACATATTGATTCGCTGTATAAAAAACTTTTAGCTTTATAGTTGAATATTGATTCACTGTATAAAAAACTTTTAGCTTTATAGTTGAAATGTATGTCTTATTTAATATAAATGATAAACAATGCTCATTCCTTGTTTAAATTTATTACCTGTGAATTACCTTTTTGTGTGTCTGGCTCATTTCCTTTGGAAAAGTTAGTGGTTTTCTTATTAATTTCTCTAAATTAGTTTTATATTAAGGTTATCAACCCTTTGTGAAGTTCACTGCAAATAAACAACTCGTGTTCTTGTGGAATTATCTCTGATTTTAGTTATCTTGTTGTTTGTGTACCAGCCAGACCATTTGATTTGCTGAATGAAGAGTCACAAGCTGTTTTTCTTACAGTTGAGGTTGAAAAGATATGTAAATATAAAAATAGTGACTTCTTACTTTGGGATAGGCAGATTCTATGATCTAAGTCCAGTGATCTCTCTTTAGTGATCTGAAAGCCAGTGAGGGAGGATATTGCTTGTTTTTATCTCAAAAGCTTATTTCCTGGGTCAAAAGAACAATGTAATAGTTGGTTTTTACATGTTGGTGGGTAGGTTTCTGCAAGTTGGTGAGCAACCTAAAGAGAGGTGTGTAAGCTCTGGGAAGGCCAGAGCCCTCTCCCATTTATTTATGTGTTCCCAGAGCTGGGCGCGTAGCGCATCTTAGGCACTCAAGGATGAATGAATTAATGAGTTAACAAATGTAATACTGCCTTTGGAATAATGAAGAAAGGCATCTGGGAGAAATGAGAATTTGCAAAGAAGAAAAAGGGACTGAAGAGACAGGCAGAAAGGTGACGAAAAGAATCTTGACAATTTTGCCTAAAGCCAATTCTTCTCTCAAGTTTTAACAAGATTTTCTTTCACTGCCCAAATTCCTAGGGCTCTATTTCTAATATTTTTGTTTTGTGCAAATAGTTTCCACTTGGGAGAGGGGTGAAATACACTTGAATAACAATGAAGAGACTTTAATAGAAGATAGTTTGGCTCAGGCTTTACTCTGTAGTTTATTTACTATCCCATGGGATTGTCCTTATAAATTATTCCATATCTCTCCTCTGTCCTTTTTATAATGTAACTTTTGTCAAAAATACACCGTTTTATAAACTTCACAGATTTCCATCTCCATCAATTTATTTTTATAAAGCCATGGCTTATGCACAGATTATACCAACAGCTACAGGACGGGCATCTGCAGTCAAGCATGCAGAAAAGGCAGTGCCCAGTGTTGTAGAAATAATCTTTGACTGGGGATCACTGGACTTGGTACCTAGGAAAAAAATGAACCATAGCCCTGAGAATCCAACAGTTCAGAATGCTTCGTGGAAAGAGGACTTCTCCTTTATCTTGGAAAGACACCCTGTGAGGATTGATGGTGGTGGAAGTGGCAGCTTCCCATCTTCCACAGTTCCATTCACGCACCTTCTGGAAGAGAGAATTGGAATCCCTGGGCATCATAAAGTGAGAGGACTTTTGGATTGAGGCTGAGCAGTCTGAAGGAAATTGTCTTCAAAGGACTAGCGGGTGAGAGGAGAAACCTACTATGGCCTAATACCTGATGTTCAGGAGAGACAGAAAGTGAGTGGTATGAGCGCATCACAGCTGACATTCATTGGCTGTTTACTGTGTTAGACAGTTTTCTGAGTGCTTTGAATGCATTGTAAATTTAACACCCTAACAATCCTATTACATAGGTAATGTTATCCCTACTTTACACATAAGAAAACTGAGGCACACAGAGCTTAAGCGGCTTGTTTAGGATTACATAGGTGTAAATGGCATATTATGGATTCAAACACCATCTGACTCTGGAACTTGCTTTTAAACCACTATGCAAGATTGCTCTGAGCCATCCACGGTAATCTTAGGGAGAACATTAATAACTCCATTGTGTATGGGATGATAACTCCATTATTTTACTTTAATTTTAAAAGGGATGTGTAATTCCAAATGTCTGGAGGGCTTGGGACCCACCAGAGAGTATATAACTGGGTTGCACATAGACTGACTTATTTATTTTTGAGTATGAATTAACTGGGGCCCTAGACCATTCTATGAGCTCTCTCCCAGTTCTAAAATGTAATCATGTGAACCAAACACAGAGGCATTTAATTGTTTATTATTCAGTCTTTAATGTGGTATGAGCTCAGAGCAGATTTTATTATATAATTTCTGTTGTCTTATTAGGTGACTCTTTCATTTCAACTGTGAAAAAGCAGCTTAAGGGGAAACCTCAGAGTCCCTGGAAGACAGTAAATTATAGTAGAATGAGTAATTGACTGGGAATCAAGAGTTTAGTTTGGCTTTCCCACAGATGTTAGACCAGGGCTCACATAGCCAATGGCCTACTCAATGTATTGTCTTGAAAGCCCTACAGGCATCCAAAATTCATAAAGTATAAATGTCCACAATCCAGCCCTTTATGCACTTGACCTTCAATATGCTTCTTTTTCATTAGTCTTTATTCATTTCAAGGCTCCACCTGTTACCTAACAAACCATATGCAAAATCTTGTATCTAGTGATATTACCTCCCTATATTTCTTGAATGCGTCATCTCACCTCCACCTCTACTCTAATTGATCTTGTTCTATGCCTGGATGATGGCAGCAGGCTCTTATTTGGACATCATGACTTCAGGCTAGCCCTCTTCCTATCTGACCTCCACTCCATGTCACTATACCATCTTCCTCCATTTACTGAAGGAAGAGATGTAGCCTGTACACTTTCATGCTGGAAAATATCCAGGAGCTGCCACTGCCAAGTCTAGGCAATTTTTCATAACATCTAAAACCTTCAATATTCAGGTCCTTGCAATCTGTCCAGCCACTGTCCACTTTTCATCTTGTGCTCTAAGTGCATTTATTCATATCCATGCTTGAGCTCGTCTCTCTATTTAGATGTGACCTTTCTTCCCTTCTTCTCCTGTGCTTAATTCTAAATTCTCAAGTGCTGCTTCTTTCTGTTTCTATAGCAGGCTGCAATCTCTACACTAGACCACATTTTAAAGAAATTGAATTCATTATCTCCCCTTGATTAATGATAAACTTTTCAGGGGCTACTTTTCTTTGCAGCTCTGTTGCATAACTCGGTGTCTGGGACATGGTCAGCGTTCAAGGAATTGTTGTGAACCATGAAACTGAGATCATGATCACAGATGAGTCTCTTTTCCTCTCATGCCTCAGGATCTCATGTGTAAAATAAAAGTACTGATTGGAATGATCTCTAAGGCCTCATTCAACTTAAACCAAATCAAACCAAACCAAACAAAATGGTACTAGTATAATGCATTTTCAATTAGTGAAGCATGTTTGGTACTTCTGCTCCATCTTGCTTATAATTTAATTTTTTTTTTACAAATTATATTCTCTAATTCATATATGTTCACATTTATTTGGTAAGATGAAACTCCTCCTGATAGTTGGCCTTTGAAATAATTTACAGAAAATCTTCAGATCAAATGATGCTAATGAGGAGGTTATAAAGGTTATAAAGATGTTCTTTGAACACACTGGCATAAATGTTGGCATTTAAACTTTTAACCAAACATGGTAAAAAATCATACATTAAAATGCAAAAATCCCTATTGAAAAAAGCATTATTAGAAACATACCATACTAAAATGTTTACTATTAATATAATGAGCTCGTATAAGCACTGGATTCAGACTGATTTGATTAAAATACAGGATCGGCCATTCATCAGCTAGTTGACTTGTGCAAGTTACAAATATAAAGAGATACATTATCCTTATTTTTGAGTTGGGGATAGTAATACCTCCCTTTCAAAATTATACTAAGCATTAAAGATGACTTCTATAGTGTAACAGCTTAGTCCCTAGTAGCTCTACAACAAGTTGGAAATTATGCTTGTGATGCTGGTGGTGATGTGGGTGGTCAAGATGATGCTAGGGATGGTGGTGGTGGTGATGATGATGGCAGTGGCAGAGGTAATGGTAGTGGTGATGATGGTGGTGGCAGAGGTAATGGTAGTAATGGTAGTGGTGATGATGGCGGTGGCAGAGGTAATGGTAGTGGTGATGATGGCGGTGGCAGAGGTAATGGTAGTGGTGATGATGGCGGTGGCAGAGGTAATGGTAGTGGTGATGATGGCGGTGGCAGAGGTAATGGTAGTGGTGATGATGGCGGTGGCAGAGGTAATGGTAGTGGTGATGATGGCGGTGGCAGAGGTAATGGTAGTGGTGATGATGGCGGTGGCAGAGGTAATGGTAGTGGTGATGATGGCGGTGGCAGAGGTAATGGTAGTGGTGATGATGGCGGTGGCAGAGGTAATGGTAGTGGTGATGATGGCGGTGGCAGAGGTAATGGTAGTGGTGATGATGGCGGTGGCAGAGGTAATGGTAGTGGTGATGATGGTGGTGGTGGAGGCAATTGTGGTGGTGATGATGGTGGTGGTGATAATAATGGTGATGATGATAATAATAGTAATGATGATAGTGGATGCTGATGGTGCTTATATGGGTGTTAGCAGTGGTGGTGATAGCCCTTTCTACCTCTGTGACTTTGCACATGGATTTACCTCTGTTGAGAGAAGGTCCCTCAGTCTAAGCGCTATCACTCCACCCTCCTTCACCTAGCTAAATCTTATTCAGTTTGACATCACTTTCTCAGAGAAACAGGGTCTCATTTCTCAAACTAAATGAATTACCCCTATTTTAATCTCTCTTGGCAAGCATCATATACTTTTCCTTCGCAGTACTTTTCACAAATGTAAGCAACTTATTATTTACAAAATATCATTGTAAAATCTCTCACAACTTGACTGTGGTCTAGTGTATCCCCAGCATTTAGTGCTATGCCTGGCATAATTCAGGTCCCTCGATAAATATTTGTCGAATGAGTAAAATTATGACGAAATCATAAGGACTAGCCACCTGAAGTCAGGGTGAAAGGATGGTATGTTCTACTTAATTCAAGGAATTGAATCAAGTAACTATTTGGATTACAGTTTAAAGGGCATTCCCAATGTGAGAGTTATTTTAAATAACAAATGAACAATTGGTAATGTACATAATTGAAGTCTAAGATGAATCCAATACATGATTGATGGTATATTGTAAGAAAAGGAAAAAAGAAGAGAAAAAAAAATGTTGGTTGACAAATAAAAACAAGTACTTTAAAAAGAACTTTTCTTGGGGCCCTGTCCTTTTGGCTTACTTCTGTAGGAAGAAGGGTCTCTAGATAACGGGACTGACTGAGTGACTGTGGGGTGTTGCTGGGCATCAGTGAATCCCTCAATGCTTCATTGTCTTAGGCCACAGTTGCTGCGCAGGATAAGAAAGGCCCATAAAGATGACATGTTTGCTTGGCGGCTCCCTGTTGGGGTTCCAGTGTATTACCTGGATCTAATTATCTCATCTCCAGCTGACAGAGGGGTTTCCATGGAACCTCTCCATCACTGCTGCCTCAGTCCAGCTTCCAGGGGGCTGTCTAATAGCTTGATATATTTTTGGATCCCCTGCTCATTGGATGAACAAGCTGAAGCAAATCATGTATTGACCTCAAAGCATTTATAAACTGTAGAACATTATATTCTCATCAGAGCCATAGGGGCAGTAAACTATAGTTTCTCTGCTGTGAAACATGGTTTTGGTTATGCACTGTATTACTGGGGTTGTACCTAAACAATAATACATCATTTGTGGCACATGTCGCCTTCTTTATTGAAAGGCAAAACAAGGAGTTGAGGACAAAAATCATTACTTCTTCAGCAATTTTTCACAAAATGCTTTTCTTTTGTACTTGACACACAGATGGGACATTGTACTGCGAGGGAAATGATGTATGGCAGCGTGACAAATTTCATTTCCTTTCTAAAACCAGAATCAGAAGGATGCACAAATTTGGGAAAGTTGTGTTTCTTTTTGTAAAAGAAAAAAAAAAAGAACAAAATATGCTTTTTAAAAGCAAAAGAGGGGACTCCAGTGGGGCTCCCTGAGAAAGCATTTGTATGCTTTAATTGACTTGTCAGGTATTGATCAAAGCGCTTAAGTGAAACTATTGGTAACAATAAGCCGGCTCATGTAAGAGCTTTTGTGTCATCTTGAAGATAGTCATCCATGATTGAGGCTGGAATTAACAGGATGCAATGCAGCCCTGTAGGACTGGATGGACAAAGGGGCTGACACAGAGTCCTCTCCTGTGGGCCCAGGAAAAGCTGTATGCACAAACTTTCCGAGCATCAGAAGAAATCAGGCAGCTGCTCTCAGGTCTTGCCCGTTCCTTCTCTATCTTTCCTAATCTTTGTCCTCCCCATCCTCAATGCAGTTTCTCAAGGCTTATCCAGCCACCACTTGCTTCTAAGTCACCAGGGTACTTCCTAAAAATGTGAGATCTCTAGGTCCACGCAGACTTGGAAACAGACTGAGTTGGGGCATGAGGATCTGCACTTTTCACATGTTCACGAAGTGATTTTCCTGCACTCCAAAATCTGTGAATCCCTGCCCATGTGTCTCATCCCAGACTACCCCGAGAATAAATCATGATTAACATCTGCAAAGGGCTGAACATCTTTTTCTGACTTCCTCCCGCTGAGAGTCCTTTTCCCTTAACATTCTACTTGGTGACTTTTGAAAAGCACTCACAGCTATTAATATAATAATTTACAGTGTTCCTCTTCCAGATAACATGTTTACATTCCATTAGAGCCTTTTTTTCCCCTTATTTTCCAAGTCCTGCTGGGCATTTTTTTAAAGAAAATAAATAAAAGGCTCAAATATGTTTAAGAAATAAAGCTTAGGCTGGGAGCAGTGGCTCACGCCTGTAATCCTGGCACTTTGGGAGGCTGAGGTGGGTGGATTATGAGTTCAGGGGTTCAAGACCAGCGTGGCCAAGACGGTGAAACCCCGTCTCTACTAAAAATACAAAAATTATCCGGGCATGGTGGTGGGTGCCTGTAATCCCAGCTACTCGGGAGGCTGAGGCAGAGAATTGCTTGAACCCGGGAGGCAGAGGTTGCAGCAAGCCGAGGTTGCTCCACTGCACTCTAGCCTGTGCAACAGAGCAAGACTCCATCTCAAAAAAAAAAAAAAAAAAAGAAATAAATAAAACTTAGTTAAGTTTAGTGAAATATCTTGAGTACAGAATTTGTCAGAGCCTTTAATATATGTATGTACACTGGGATTTTTCAAATATTATTTAACATATTTGATATGAGACTCCTTTGTCCTGGAGAATTTCATGAGATTTGTGTTTCAAAGAACAAATATTAAATAATATTGCCTAATTCAGGAGTATTAAAGAGTAAGCAGAAATTCTGGAGGTACTGTGGCCAGTAGGCTGTGGCAGGGGAGACATCTGCTGCCTTTTATATGTTATCACCTGTGTTCTGTTTGCTATGCTCACAAACAGTTCTACATAGATGCAGGAAAAATTGTCTGATACTGAGAAATAAAGATTATGTGTTAGATAATTTAATATTTACACCAAAGGGATTCACCCTACTGGAACATATTTTCTAGGCAACGTTTTATTTTTTAAAAACAATCAAGTAGGCACCATTTGCCTAATTTGATATCTATAATATTTAAGCTTCTATGATTGTCATTTTATTCTTTAAACGTTTCATCAGTCACTTGGATTATGAAAAAGTCAACAAACTTTTTAAACACCAATATAAGCACTGCATGACTCCGAGTGTGTTTCTTCACATCTCTGGGATGCTGACTATAGTTTCAGTAATTCCTAACCATTTTGGGGTCATCGTATAGCTTTTTGAGATTTCTAATGAAAGTGATGGGATTTCTTCTCCCTAAACATCACATATGCAGATGCGAATTAACTTTTCTCCTGTAGTTTCTAGGGCTACATGAATCATCTGAAGCCTCTTCCGGATGCTATAAGCAGCCATGGATGGGCGGAGAAAAGATCCTTGGGCCAGCGTCTCCCTTAGGGTCCTTCCTGCCATGATATTGTGTGAGTCTACGATCTAGTCTCCTCTCACTTGCCACACTCCATATGCTTTCTACTGGGGTATCTTCCTTTTTGTTTCCTTTTTGTAGTTTCTGGGAACCACAGATCTGAATCTATAAAGTTTCAGTCATAATGAGTGGTTACAACTTCAAAGGATACTCTTTCAGTCATTTACCTTAGAAAATATAGCGCTGTTTTTCCATTTATACAAAGCTGCTATTTGCCCTTTCTTCTGCATATTTAGTGTGCAAAGTTAGAGACCGACCACAGAGGTCATAAACAACAAAAATGTTTTGCAACAGTTGGCATAGAGAAATGATTTTTCTGAACTGTTAAAAGTGCATGAAATCAGCTACGCATGTTACGAAACGTAAGTCACAGTTCTTTTTGTGATGCAACAAATAAAATGGTGGATATTTCAGCAAAATTACAATGACAAGCAGCTGCAACCACATGCAATCATCTGTGTCTCAAATGTTCTCCCAACATTTTTTAATACCCTTTATTTTTCAGAATAGTTTTAGAGTCCCCATATACCCGCCCTGCTCCGGCATACACACAACTTTCCCCACTACCAAAATTCCCCATCAGAGAGGTACATTTGTTACAATAGTTGAACCTACATGGACACATTATTACCAAGAGTCCATAGTTTACCTTAGGGTTCACACTTGCTGTTGCATATTCTATAGATTTGGACAAATGTAGAATGGCACGTATCACCATTGTAGTATCATACAGAGCAGTTTCACTGCCTTAAAAATCCTCCCTACTTTGTCTGTTCATCCCTTCTTTCCTCCAATCCCTGACAACCACTGATCTTTTTACTGTCTCCACGGTTTTCTTTTTTTCCAGAGTATCATGTAGTTGGAATTACACAGTATGTACCGTTTCCAGATTAGCTTCTTTCACTTAGCAATATGTGTTTAAATTTCCTCCATGTCTTTGCATGGATTGATACCTTATTTCTTTTAGCACTAAATGATATTCCATGTAATCCCAGCACTTTAGGAGGCTGAGGTGGGTGGATCACGAGGTCAGGAGATTAGGACCAGCCTGGCCAATATGGTGAAACCCCGTCTCTACTAAAAATACAAAAATTAGCTGGCCATGGTGGCATGTGCCTGTAGTCCCAGCTACAAGGGAGGCTGAGGCAGGAGAATCACTCAGACCCAGGAGGCGGAGGTTGCAGTGAGCTGAGATGGTGCCACTGCACTCCAGCCTGGGCAACAGAGCAAGACTGCGTCTCAAAAATAAATAAATAAATAAATAAATAAATAAATAAATAAATAAATAAATATTCCATGTATTCATTCCATTGTCTGTATGTTTCCCAGTTTAATTATCCATCCACCTACTGAAGGATATCTTGGGTGCTTCCAACTTTTGACAGTTATGAATCAAGATTCTGTAAATCTCCATGTGCAGGTTTTGTGTGGATATAAGTTTTAGTTCATTTGTGTAAATACCAAGGAGCACAATTGCCAGATGGTATGGTTAAGAGTATGTTTAGGTTATTAAGAATCTACCAAACTGTCTTCCAAAGTGGCTGTACCACTTTGCATTCCCACCGGTGAATGAGAGTTCCCACTGTTCCACAACCTCATTAGTATTTGGTGTTGTCAATGTTTGGGATTCTGGCCTTTTACTAGGTATACAGTGGTATCTCAATGTTGTTTCAATTTGCAATTTCCTAATAATATATGGTGTTGACCATCTTTTCAAATGCTTATCATCTGTAAGTTTTCTTTGGTTAGGTATCTATTCAGGTCTTCAGCTCATTTTTTAATCAGGTTGTTCATTTTCCTTTTGATGAGTTGTAAGTGTTCTTTACAGATTTTGGGTAGCAGTCATTTCTTTATCAGATGTTATTTGTAAATATTTTCTCTTAGTCTGTGGGAAGTCCTCTTACTTTTGTGACCCTCCTAACATTTTAATTATGCCACTTATGGCTATAGGATATATTAGTGATGTTTTTTGCATTTCTTGATTGGAATATGAGGCACAAAGAAAGTTGTATTTTTATGTTTTATCTTTTAATATTATTTTGAAAGGAAATATATATTTTTCATAAATAAAAACCAAAAATATAGTGGTCCTAATTATCTCCAAAGTGTTTCAGGACAAAAAATGAAGAAACTAAGGAATTAAACAACCCGAAAAATGTACCAAAGATAACTTAAGGGCACTATATTTCTTCCCTGACTAAAAATGTGTGTGTGTGTGAACATATTTACACTGTCTATTGGACTCTTTGAAATACAGTTTTCCTTTATACATCACCGCCAGTCCCTTTTGAAGGAGCTAGAATCTTTGGAGTGTACCCTTAAATGTGAGATTATATTCCCAATTATAGCACATATCAGGTTTTATTGCTTTGGGACTAATATTACACGGCATTTCTATTTTTAAATAAAGTAACTGCAGTATCATTGAGGCAAATGAAAGAGATTATGCTGGAATTATTTGGATCACAGTTTTTTTTTTTTCCATAATGCACATAGATTACCGATATAAAGGAATTCTTAAACTAACATTAAGATTTGACCTAACTGGTCATTGTCGCATTGATTCTGCTTTAACTACTTTGAATAAGGATTTTTTTTCTATCCAACAAATCTCTTGGACCACATGTGGTCCAGTAATGCACAGAAAGGATGAGAATCACTACTATTAGCACTTACTTACCTTCAGATGGCTGACTCATGGCCGTAGAGAGACCTGGCCAAAGCTTACCTAGAGAAACTAAACCTGTAGGTACAGCATCTCTATAGCTCAAAATAGCAAGAACAACAGCAACACACAATACTGCATATGTTCCTTTCTGATCTGTGTACCAAAGAACAAAGTGAAGCCTTTTTTGGCACATGGCTCGGTTTTGGGCAATGCAAGTAAATGATCACACAGGTACTTTGCTATGGATCTTGCAGGGTTTCTCATTCCAATTGTGAAAAATTTGCCTTCTACATTCATTTATTTTGGGGTCATGGACTGCTGAAGTCAGGTATCTAGTCTTATCTACTCATCAAAGCTTTCAAACTTATATCAGCACAAGTAGGGACACACTATTTTCTTGGCTCAGTCATTTGGAAATGCCTCTAGCACCTGAGTGGTCAGCTGTGCCAAATATAGCCTCTATTTAATTCCTGCATGATGGTGTCTATAAAGTCATTGGAGCTTTTTTGTTTGTTTGTTTTTGTCTTTCAAGGTTCCAACTCTGCTTTCATCTTTGTCACGTTTATTCCAGATTTATTAGTCCCAAAGTTGCTCTTGGTATGTCATCATTGATCAAAATAAAAGAAATACTCGGATTAAGAGTGCATTTAGAGATGATCTTAAAAACATGCATTCAGGATCATTTTTACCATGTTTAAACCATTTCTATTCATAAAGTAAATACAAATGCTAAGAGGCTTGGCCAGGAAACACATGCTTTTTGCACAAAGTAGAAGATGTTTTTTCTTTTTTTAAATATTAAAATGTGAACCTTTCTTGCCTTATTCATGATCCAGCTAGTGAGCTGTGTATGGTTCAGTTAAGACTGAATGTATGCTTATTGTTTCTTTATATATCAACTAATAAAAAATTAAACCCATTAAGAATATAACATTTAGACAGGAGAGAATGATATTTTTTTAATGTCACACTCAAAACCACATTTCTTTTAATCAACATCTGCTCTGTGTTAAGCTGCCTATAAAATCTGGTGCCCTGTTGACAGTGGAAGATGAAAACAAAAAAACAGGAAAACTACAAAAGGCATGGTATTAACATCAAAGTAGAATAACCCTGCTCTCTTTCTTTGGCATTTGAAAAACGTCTTTATTTTGACCCTAAACAATTGGATTTTCTTCCCACCAATCTTGATTTTGGAGCTCTGGATTAAGAAGACTTGCATGTGAACTGAAACATGAGAGTAAAGGGAACCGAAAATGAACAAGGGACTGTTTGAACAAATTAAACCATTTGCAATTGTAAAACCTCTTTTATTGTTTGCAACAATCAGAAATCAGCACCACATTTATTTGTAGATTAGACTCATGCTCTTCAGCCATAATGGCAGATACCCTATAGAAGGCAAACTGATCAGAACTGTCCTTTTATAACCCTGCAAATAACGTAGTGCAAAGGTTTGGGATTATGGAGAATGAAAGAGAGATCTCTTAGAATTTGTGAATACTGGAATATGAGAGCATCATTCTTTTTTTAAACTGAGACCAGTGATCTAGATTTGTGTTAATGCTTTATGACTAGCTTTGTGTCTGTACTAAAAACAAAAGTAGCCTGTGGGATGTCTCACTTTAGAACATTCGTGATGATGAAAATCTCCATTCTGCAAGGGCTGTGTCTATCACAAAAATGTATGTACTAATTTGTTACATGGAGAAACTTGCTATATATTTGTTTATTAAAATCATAGCCTTTACTATGAGCCAGGTAGTATGATATGTGTTGAGTACAGAGATAAAACAATCAGTCTCTGACCTCCTGAACCTAGTGGGAGAAAACAAGCTAACTCCTCACTAGCAATAACAACCACAAAATTCCTGCCATACGGGTTAAGAGGAGATACAGAGAAAATCCTTCCTTCCATGCATGATGTTTCTCAGAAGGTGATACATTCTTCTCTTACCATATGATTGAGGGATTGAAATACTATGCAAGACAAAATAAACTTGTCCCTATGGAGTATAAAGTGTAGGGAGCATTTTCAAATTTTATTTATTGACAACTTTGCATTTTATTCTCCCCTTGGAAAACCTTATCCAACTGTAAATATTTGTGGAGCACTCACGCTAAGTCCCAGGGGGAACACCTTTACAGGGTTATTCCAAATCTGATTTTCTCAGGATCACTAAATATTAAGACAATTCTTTCTCTCTCTTTTCTAGCGTCTTCAAAGTGTCTTCTGTAAAGACTTCTTCAGACTGTCAATAGGAAGACTGATAAACTCAGGTATTTGTACTTTTTTTTGTTCAAGGAAATCCAAGAAGGCTTCCTGGAGGAAAGCAGTAGGAATCCATTAAAAATATGGGCATGGGCCAGGTCCGGTGGCTCACACCTGTAATCTCAGCACTTTGGGAGGCCGAGGTGGGTGGATCACCTGAGGTCGGGAGTTTGAAACCAGCCTCACCAACATGGAGAAACCTCGTCTCTACTAAAAATACAAAATTAGCCTGGCGTGGTGGCACATTCCTGTAATCCCAGCTACTAGGGAGGCTGAGGCAGGAGAATGGCTTGAACCCGGGAGGTGGAGGTTGCGGTGAGCCAAGATCCTGCCATTGCACTCCAGCCTGGGCAACAGAAGCGAACTCCGTCTAAAAAAAAAAAAATTGATTTTAAAGTGCCACTTCTTTTTCTTTCTTTTTTTAAGTGTGGTGGAGGGGCTGCAATCTTACCCAGGTATATATCTCTGGTTTTCCTATTACAAGCATGGGTTTGAGAGCCTTGGAAAATAAATTTTGAGGGAGGTTAGAAGCTATGGTTAGGAAGACCATAGGAGAAGGAAGGAGAAACCTCTCCTGTTTTGCAGGGAAGACAGAATGTGGCACAGAAGTGATTAAAAGGTCAAAGGCATTCTATCCTCTTTGATTCACACATTTCTTGGATTTCACCCTTAACCTGAATCTCTAATGAACCAATCATATAATTGAATTAATTCATCCTTGCCAATTCGTGTTAGGCAGCGAGTTTGAGTACTATCAGAAGAAATTGTAACGGGGAGGAAAAAGGACAGGGTTTCCCAGACCCTTAAGAGTCTCTGGTATGGGGACTATTAAAAGCCACCTACTCAGAACAATGTCTGCAACTGAACTAACTGCACCAATCCTTTCAGATTTTCCAGCTACTTTTTAAAATCACTGACCTCAAATTTCATTGACTTCAGGGTGCATTGGAGTCACGCCTCAGTGCTTGCGTTTATGTTGCTCAAGGAGGCTGACACTGAGGGGTGCCAACAGCACACAGGATGTTTCTTTGTGAGGTGTTTATTTTCTTGCATTTCAAACCTTTCTTTTTAATGTAAAGCTCCTAGATTATTTTACTCTAGTATTTTTTTTTCAATCATAAAGTGAAAAGCATATAGTCTTGTTAAGACAGTCTTACAGCTATAGCTCCAGATAAAGACATAGATAAAAATAGATATATAGATAGTATGTATGCTAAGTGGGAAAGCTATCAAATCTGTGTTAAGCATTTTCTCATATGTATATAACTTGGAGCATGCCCCAGGTATTCTTAAACTTGTTCTGGTTATACAATTCCTCATCAATAAAGGTTCAGACATAGTTAAAATTGGCACAAATAACAAAAATCCCCTGGTGAGATAGATACCATAGAATGACTTACTTCTCACTCATAAAACCAATTTAACATTTAAAACAATCTATTTCTCTTCACTTATTCCTTGCTCTTGCCGCCAGAATCACTGTCTTTCTCTTTCTCTCTTCTTACTTATTCTTTGCTTTGTTCTCATTAATTAAACAATAGCTACAAAGCAGCCACAGAATGCATGAAGTCCAAGTCTAGTCTTGCAATCCGGATTAAGAAGATATAAACAATAGTAGTTTTTCCACAGGTGACTGTTGTTAAGTAAAATGTTAAATTGATACATTATATGCATATGTAAAGTATAGTGAGGTGGGCTGTAAATTATGCTCTAAGAAATCTTTCTTTCTCTCTATGTATATACATATACATACATAATATGTTGATAAGCCCGTGCAAGATTATAGCAGTCGATGGGTAAGAATACCCAAGAGGTTTTCCCACTTAATGGTACTAGAATAAGCCCCTTTCTAAGGTAATCCATTTTCCTTCATGCTATTTAAAAATAAAACGGTACATTTTTCAATTATGCACGTGAAGGCAATATTCAGCGGGCTGCTTAGCATTCAGAGGGGATTTCTGCGATCCACCCTGTCATTGCTGTTCTTGCCCTCGCTCTGCAGTATGAGAAAACACTGTTATTTACCCTGGGACACAGGTGACTGAACTTATAAAAATCACTACAAGACAAGATGTATTGAGGCTTGGCATGGAATGACAAATTCTGGTAAGGTTCACCAAGAAGAGACATATTGATTCGTAAATGATTAATAAGGAGAATATAATTGTATTTCATTAAGATGGATGGGATTTCATTTAGTCTGTCTTCTCCCTTTCCAGTTCAGATGCGAGAGGAAATCGAGTCATCATCAATGGCACCTCATGTTAGCCTGCCATGGCAACAAGCTCATTGATTGAGTAAAAGAACTTTCAGATGCACTAGCTGGTCTTTAACGGGTTGCTGAAAGCACAGATAAGACGACTGAGGGAGCCGACTGAATTTCCATGGATATATACAAAGGGAATGGAAAATCACAGTACGATTTTTCATTGGCTCCTGATAGAGCTAGGTCCTTGTATAATTCTAAAACTGGTGTATAAAACAATGTCCACGCCATTCATTTTGGTTATAACTATTAAGGGGAAGGGAGATGATGTCTGTGGAATTGCAAAGTAGTTTGCACTAGAATTTTCTATTACATATGCTCTAATAGGAGTATTTTCCTCTGTTACATTATGACTTATGTAATAATAATAGCTAAGGATTACTGAGGGTTTTTATTTTCTTTTCTGCATGATCTTGACCGTTTTTCGAAACAGTCCTTGTTGCTGGATACTATTTATGTCACCATTTTACAAATGAGAATGCCAAAGTTCAGAGTGACATCCATCTAAAAGAGGCCAGTTTCAGCCTTGAACCCATTATACTCTAATCCCATTTTCAAAGTAACTCTTGGTTTTCTCAAAAGGCCTTTAAATGTATGGATAAGCCAATATGAGGGCAGCAATGTTGTGGTTAAGTGTGTGCACTTTGGTTGGACTCTGCCGAAGGCCAGCACCACCATTTAGTAGCTATGTGAACCAGTGAGTTACTTAAAACCTATACCTCCACTTCCTCATCTGCAAAATGGGGTTGTGGTAAGGCTGGAATAAGTTAATGCATGTAGCATGTTGAGAAGGCACTGTCTAAGCGCATGGCACATGGTAAGCATGTAGGAAACAGCAACACATGCCTGGGTCTGAGTTCTGCTCTGTCATGATGATTGGTGCCCAACGGGAAAAGCTCTTCCGCACCAGCGTTTTACAAGCCTAGCTCCTCCTTTTCCAAAACAAGTTCCCAGGCCATGGTCAATATCAACATTCAGGGGAAATACATTCTGTTCATTGTAGATATGACAGTGAGAATATTTGCTGAATAACAATTAAGCTATCTGATTGCGTAATAGTTAAAAGGTTTGTTTTTACCATCTGTGAATTAAAGCCAAAAATAACAACCAATTCATAGAATATTGTGACGGTTATAGGAGATGCAGCTTGTCAGCTGCTCAGCTCAGCGGCCTGGGCATGATTAGAATTCCACACATAATAGTGATTACCATCAGTATTATTATTATTAAGGCAACACAGTGATCGTAGTAATGGTAAAACAGAGAGATCTACCTAATCCAAAATTCTATTCAACAAGGGAGTTTCTACATATAGCCACTATGGTTTCTAATTTTCAAAGAATCAGCATATAATAAAATGCTCTCAATAATAAAGCTGAACTGAATATATTATAATAACTTAATGAGGCAGAAGACATTTGAGATGCCTCAATTATCAATGTGTTTCACAGATTCAAAAGTGTAACTTTATACATTTATTCAATAGATAAAACACTGACTAGGTCCGCTTAAAGTTGAAATAGATTTTTGGATTCTCTCAAAGTATAGGGCAATAACAAATATAGAAGTTTTCTGAAAAAAAATAAGCAAAATAGAAATAGTACTATTATTAGTTTTAAAATATTATAAAAGAATTTTAAATGAGACAAAAATAATATGATGGCAATATATGGCCTTTTACAAAGAGAGGAACTGAGGCAGGGAGGAGAAATAATTCTAGAATGACATGCTGGTTAGAGGTATGATGTGTCGGACCACAAGAATGATGTGATTCTGACTTTTCCTTTATTTACAAATCACTTTGGATAAACCGATGGCTCTTGCTGAGCCCCTGGGTTGGTGGAGGAGTAACATGCCTGGGAGTCGAGCATCCTAAGACGTGCACCCTGAGGACTGCAGGAAAAGTGCAGAAATTAGGTAGAAATAGGGCTTGTTTAGCATTCATGATGGCTAGGTGTCTTACTGCAGGTGTCTTAAGAAACTACCCAGTAACTCACTGAACCAGCAACTCTGTGCATGGCCTCCTGAGAGGTGAGGGACACAAAGATTTTATCAAGAGTGAAGCATGTGTCTGTGTTCAAGTATCTTGCAAAATGAAGACAAAAGAAGTAGTTTGCAATTAGCTCTTAGTTCCTACCTTTCAAAGAAGCATCCGCCAGTCAGGTGAGATGAAACTGACCATGAAGAGAAGCTTGTATCTGTATAAAATGCAAACCTGTTTGGACAGCGGAATGGGGTTTGCTTCAAACTTCAGGGTGCATTTATATAAAGCAACAGAGAGTGCACTTTCTAATAAAAATAAAATGAAGCTCAAATGGCACAAGAGTCTCCTTATATTTAAAATGGTTCTCGTAAAGTAACATTTTGATGATTTAAATGGAAATGAATCAGAACATATAGATTAAATTTCCTTGAAAAACACATTGGCTTTTGTATATTTTTTATTAAATTTTCATTTCCAATATCCTGAAGTAGGCTCCAGAAAAAAATTAAACAGGAAGGAAGAGTAACGAAAACATGTATTCAGCTCTGAGCATGATGTTTTTCATAATATTTTGAGTAAATAATAGAAATTGAAAAAAAAAGTTGGTATGAACGCTTGCTATGCAATATATACTGGGGACTTTGCCTTTGAAAACAAGATGGATTCAGAATATAACATCACCAAAGAGGTTGAAATATGAAATTTAATGTATAATATTTTTAAAACATAATTTTTCTCATTTAAGAATACTTTTAAGAGATTCCCTTATATAGGAACGTTTTTGAATACTATCTACAAGATAGGTCAAGATAAGACTTCAATTTGAAACTAAGTTTTAAGGGTAGATGTACACAGTAATGCTTATTAGAGGAATTTTCTTTTTTTGTTTTGTTTTGTTTTTTTTTGAGACAGAGTCTCACTCTGTCGCCCGGGCTTTAGTGCAGTGGTGTGATCTCGGCTCACTGCAACCTCCACCTTCTGGGTTCAAGCAATTCTCCTGCCTCAGCCTCCCAAGTAGCTGAGATTACAGGCATGTGCCACCACGCCTGGCTAATTCTTGTATTTTTAGTAGAGACCAGGGTTTTCACCATGTTGGCCTGGGTGGTCTTGAACTCCTGACCTCAAGTGATCCGCCCACCTCAGCCTCCCAAAGAGCTGGGATTACAGGCTTGAACCACCATGCCGGGACTTCGGGAATTTTGCTAATGAAATAATCATCATTCAAAGGGCTTAAAAGAAGAGGCTTATGCAAAAAAATAGGAATGTACTGGAATCACCGGTATTAACAAAAGATTAACTTGATTAAACAGCACTGTGTATTATCTCATTTTATCTTCACAATGACCATGTTGCAGCCATCTATTGTTGTCACCATTTTATAGAAGCAGAAACGTGGGCTTATGGAGGCAAAGCAACTTGTCCAAGTTTATGTGCTTCGTATGGCATAGAGTAATTCCTACCTCATGCTATGACCACTCCATCACACGGTCCCTCTTTCTGGATTGAGTCCCTTGATAGTGGTAGAGTTAAAAACAGTAAAAGCATTGTGTTTTATTGTTTTCTAACTAGAGAATTCTTGTTTTGTCCTTTGTTCTGGGCCCTTGACAGGCCTTCAATGTAAGAAAATAACTTTTATTTGTCCAACATTTTGTGGATAGTTGGCCTGGTTATAGAATTCTAGGCTGGAAATGATTCTTTTTCAGAATTTTGAAAGTAATGTGTTTTATTGTTTTCTAACTAGAGAATTTCAATGCCACTCTGATTTTTAATCCTTTTTGTGTGATCTTCTATTTTGTCTCTCTGGAAGTTGTCAGTATTTTGTTTTACCTCAACGTTGCCACAGTTTTATGACAATTTACCAAATTGTTGATTCTTTATTGTCCTTTATGCTGGGCCCTTGATATGCCTTTTTAATCTGATTTTTTTTTTTTTTTGCCATTTACTACTAGAAAATGCTATTTGTTTTGTTTATTATATTTCCCTCCCATTTTAACTGCTCTATATGTTTGAAAAAAATTTTTTTTGCAGGGGGTATTTTCTGTTTGTTTTTCTTTTCTGTTTCTACTTCCTGGAAATTCTTTCTTACAGCTTTTTATTGAATTTTTTACTAATTTCCTTTAGATGTGAAATTTCTGAGAACTCTTTTTGTGTTTTCTCATTGTCTCTATTTAATAGCATTCTGTCCCCATTTTGTAGCTGCTATATCTGTTAGAATCTTTCTGAAAATATAAATCATAGCTTTTAAGGGAAGATTTCTTCCGCTTGCATAATCTTAGTTTCCTCTAAGTTGTTGATTTTGTCTTTCTGCTTGTGTGAGTCTCCATCTTTTATGTCAATGGCTTTCCTCTGGTGCCTGGTAAACTTTATTGTTGTTATTTCAATATCTTTAAAAATGAGGACCAAATTGGAAGCTATAACCACATGGATGGAGCGTATCTATTCTGAGAGCCACTCTCTCTGGATCTCAGATTCCCCAGTCAAAACTCCAGCCTGGATGATGAAAGCCTGACTGCTTGTCTGTAGGGATGGGGCCTAAATTTTCATTGAGAATCCAAAATGAGACGAAGACCCATGGAAAATGCATGAAGTTGCAATGGACAATATGCAAGTTATAGTAGTCTCGCAAACTCCATACAAAAAGGCCCCACACAGAGTGTGATGGTTAATACTGAGTGTCAACTTGATTGGATTGAAGGATGGAAAGTATTGTTCCTGGGTGTGTCTGTGAGGGTGTTGCCAACGGAGAATAACATTTGAGTCAGTGGACTGGGAAAGACAGACCCACCCTCAATCTAGGTGGGCACCATCTAATCAGCTGCCAGCAAGGAATAGCATAAAAGCAGGCAGAAGAATGTGGAGAGATTAGACTGGTTTAGCCTCCCAGCCTACATCTTTCTCCCGTGCTGGATGCTTCTTGCCCTTGACTATAGAACTCCAAGTTTTTCAGCTTTGGGACCCATACTGGCTTCCTTGCTCCTCAGCTTGCAGACGGACTATTGTGGGACCTTGTGATCATGTGAGTTAATACTCCTTAATAAACTCTCCTTTATATATACATTTACCTTATTAGTTCTGTCCCTCTAGAGAACCCTGACTAATACAGTGAGTAGGCTTTTCTCTCTCTCTCTCTCTCACTCCCTCTCACTCTCATAACAATAAGCTTTCTCTTTTTTTGCAAAGAGAGAGATGAATAATATGGTATGGCCCTTTTGTAGGTATCATTATTGTATCCTTGGACAAATACTTGGAGTTGTTTTGCTCCACCTTCCCCGGTGGCAGAGCCTTTCCATTGGGTCGTCTCATCCTCTTACCCTTACACACACTTAATAAAGGACCAAATACCATTAAAACTAAAAAATACAACCTTAGCTCTAACAGCAAATGTGTAAAGTATTTAGCATCTCACAAAAGCCCTGGGTAGTGCATCACAGTGCTTCTATAGGACAAGAATGAGAAGGTGAAGCTGTTGGTTTTCATCTTGACCCTGACCCGAACTTCTCAAGGCTTTGAAGTAATGTAACATGTGATGGCCAGGTTTTAATTCCAGAAGAAGTCATGCTGATACTCTGCATCCTGTCCATGCATCAGAGATGCACAATGAGGAGTAATTAGATACAAACAAAGTTGCCGGATGGGCAGTGGAAATGGGAGTTTCAATTATTTTTTAACAACCTGTTTACTGATTGTCTGGTGTTTAGTATTTTTCGGGTTTATGAGGTTCCTCATTGATGGCTTCAGGCAAGAAACTACAGAAAATTGATGGAGAGGATCCAAGAGGCCCTGGGCAATATTCTTTCACTCCAGAGTGTGAATACAATCTCTGAGTTTTACAGTTTTTAAACACAGGTGCAAGGCTTTCTGCTTGTTTGAGCGAGGAAAGTATTCTATTTGGAAAAAAAATAATAATGTGGTTCTCATTTGAGTGAGAGTTCTTGGCTTGACACGGTCGTGAATCTCACTCAAAACACACAGAAAATCACTATTAAGTCACAGCATAGCCCACTCAGTGCTGGAGAAAAGGTGTTAAGTCATGTGAATGCGTTGTCTATCAGCTTAGATGGGAGTGGATTTTATACTTAAAGAATGCAAATTTCACCCTCACAAGAAAAAAAATGCACCATATTTAAAAAAGAATAATGATTATTTAATGTGGAAGATTGGTATATACATACATTATTATTCCTAGCAATAATACATATATTATTTGAAATGTGCATTTAGTTCTCCTTGAAGAAATTTATAATACTTTACATAGCTCTCTATATTGGTATTTGTTGCCCTAGTAAATTTGCCTGGTTATGTAGAGGTATTATTATTTCTATTTTACACATGGCAAATGAAGGGATTGAGTAAGCTTTTTGGTATTATACTATACCTCTGAGTCATGGCACATGGGGAAGATATAATCCAAGCTATTTGATTTCCAAATGAATGTTAGTGTGAATAAATAAAACACACAGAACCAATGTTTTCTTTTGGCAGCATCAATAAAAGTATTTTCTCTTTGTTAGTTGTGAAATGTGTTAGTAGGCAAATTTGAGTTCTTAAGAAACAGATCACCTAGTTTTTAGATGATATAGGCCCTTTCTTTTACAGTGGATTTTGTTTCCCCATTATGTAGATCTGAGGGTATTTTGTGACATCTTAGCATGCCCACTGGATAGTTGAAGGCATCCAGACTACAGAGTGTGCTAGCTAAGCCTCATGGTGCTTATTTCTGATTTCTGGCAGGGGAAGCTTTCTTCACTTCTAGTGAGCGTGGAGTCAGAAATTAACTGCATAACCCTGGGTCCAGACCTTTTCTCCAGTGTTGCCTCTTGTATGTTTCACTGTCAATCAAGAAGAAAACCATGACATGGTTTGTTTCTCAGTACTCTATTTTTTAAAGTAAATGCATCTCTTAATCCTGCTTTGGAGCTCCCCCTCTCTCCACACATATGCTTTCTCCTTTAGTCAATCATTCGTTTTATTGGTTACAGTGTGACTACACTATTTCAGGCCTTTCCACAGCCGAGCACAGCTGCTCATGTTGGCTATTGATTCCATATGTTAGCTCAAAATTGTGTAACAGTCTCTTCTAATAGTTGCCTTTGGCTTTTCCTTTCCCCACTCAGAAAGGCACCCTCTGCCCCTGGCTTGGCACGTCAATAACTAGAAAAGGATCCTAATTATTTCAACCACTCATCGCCAAAAAGCACAAATAGTTGTCACGTGTTTGAACAACTAACCATGATTTTGGTTTATGTGGCTTCATGCTACTCTATGGAAAACACTTTAAGAAACCAACACTGAATTTGCTGGTAGGAAGAAAATGTTGCTCCTGTGGAAGGTTTAGCAACCTCTAACTCCAAGGAAATTTCCTTGTTAAATTATTGTGTGATTATGTAAGCTTGTCTTATCTCCAAGTTATCCTTATATCCCACCACCCCTCTTTTCTTCTCTCTTTTGATCTCGTTTCTTTGTTTATAACTGTGAATGGAATATTTAGCTGTACATGAAGCCTAACATTTTCCCCAGGGAAGACAGTTTGGATCGCACCCAGGAAACTTCATCTCTGAAAGTTTTATGGAAACTCCATGTTGTTGCATGTGCTGAAAAACTCAATTCCTACCGAGTGGATGCTTTACCTGAGAATCTCTGGGCGTCTGAGTGATTCAGAAGCTCATAATCTGGATCACAAAGAGCCTTCATAATGTCTCCTTCTAGTGCTTTAATAGCTTTTGTGTCATGGTGAGAAGCAAAACCAGTTATCATGGCCAGGTGTGGTGGCTCACGCTTGTAACCCCAGCACTTTGGGAGGCCGAGGTGGGTGGATCAACTGAGGTCAGGAATTTGAGACCAGCCTGGCCAACATGGTGAAACCCCGTCTGTACTAAAAATACAAAAATGAGCCGGGCATGGTGGCACACACCTGTAATCCCAGCTGCTTGGGAGGCTGAGGCATGAGAATCACTTGAACCCAGGAAGCAGAGGTTGCAGTGAGCCGACATCATGCCACCGCACTACAGCCTGGGTGACAGAGTGAGACTCTGTTTCAAAACCAAAACCAAAACCAAAACCAAAGAAACAGTTATCCTCTTTATGGCTGAAAGAAGAAGGCACACAATCTAGGCAGGGTCAGGAGGATCTACTCATCAGACATAGAGAAGAAAGTTCGGATCTCACATAACAGCCCTTTGGAATTGATCTCAATGACCAAAGCATACACAATTTTCAGGTTCTGAATCAACCAGCTGGAAGGGATGGAGCGTAAGTTGAATATAGTTTTGCAAGCTAACTTGAGAATCGGGCAAGAGGTCAAGAAGATTTTAGCCCTAAATCTCTTAATTAATTTTAGCTTTCTTCCACCTCTCCCTCCCTCTGGTAACCGGATCTAAGTCCTGTAGACCTTTCCTTTGCTACACTCACTGCCTTCTCTCATATATAGATCTGTTTTGTCTCATTTTTAGATTACCGAAATATTTTCTCCACGTTCTCTATTTATAGTCTCCTTTCTCTTTGGTAAATCTCAGTGGTGAGTGGTCAAACTGATTCTGCCAAGAAAAAAAAAATTCAAACTTTTCCACTGGTGGTCACAGAAAACTAATAAACTAGTAAACTAGTTGTTTTGGTAAAACTAGTAAACTAGTTTTTTCTTTTGTTTTTTGGGCTTTGTGTGTGTGTGTATGTGTGCATGTGGTGTATGTGTGTGTGTGTGTGTGTGTGTGTGTATGAGAGGAGAGAGATGGAGGTAGTTATAAGGTTAAATAAATCACCCTGAATAGCCTGTGTGAAGCGTAAAATGTCTTTAAGTCTCACATTTGATCTGATTCTTGCTAAATAGAATAATGTTTAACTTCCCAAGTCTTTGGGCAAAAAGAAGACTACCCAAAATAGTTCCATGTTTACCCTGTAGCTGCACAGACTGTTTCCCCCCATCCACACTGTCTCCTCTCCTCTCCTTCCCTGAGCAAATTGCACAGACTTAGAATTTGAAAGCAAATCAAAGCTCTGTGCAAGTTGGCCAAGGGAACCTCGGATCCACCCAATTGTTTTGCTTATAATCACTTGACCATTCTATAC